>NC_000001.11:53038683-53190198 GCF_000001405.40 Homo sapiens
AATGAGCCACCATGGCTGGCTTAAAAAGCCATTTTTAATAAAAGACTTGGCAGATGTGGGAGTTGTTGCCTGCTTGCCTTTCAGACTTTTCTGGGTAAAAGATCATAAGGGACCTTGGGGACCGCTCCCTGGCCCGTATACTCATATCATGTATCTATTTAAACATGAATTTGCTTGAGGAGAAAGCCAGAGAAATGGACTTAATGTAACCCCAGTGTTATTTTTCTTTCCAGGAAGGGGAACAGTTTGTGAAGAAAATCGGTGGTATTTTTGCCTTCAAGGTGAAAGATGGCCCTGGGGGTAAAGAGGCCACCTGGGTGGTGGATGTGAAGAATGGCAAAGGATCAGTGCTTCCTAACTCAGGTTAGTTTGGGAATGACTTCATTCTAGGAGCACTGACGAGTTTACGAAGGCTGTCAGCTGGGAAAATGGGGGTCTGCTTTACTGTTCCCAAAAAGGACTGGCTTTTAATGTTAAAGAACCAGTAAATTCCAGGGAACAGGAACAGGTCAAAGCCACCTCCTCCCAAGGATTTGGAGGCTCCATCACAGAGTTGCCAATCTTAGGCTTTGGAATTAGGCAAACTTGGGTTGGAGTCCCATCCATGCCATTCACATAATGTGACCTTGAACAAGTTATTTAACTTTCTGAGACTCAGTTTTCTCTTCTGTAAATGGGCTTAATAAATGGCCCCTTTTCATAAGGTTGGTATGAAGATTAAGAGGATTCTTTCTTAATTAACCGTAAGGCACACGGTCCAGTGCATGGCTGGTGGCCTTGGAAGACCTGTCCATACTCACAATCGCCAGTTATTCTTATCCAAATCTTTTTTGACCCCACTCTAGTCAGCTTTTGTCCTCATCACTATCCCCAGACTGTTCCTGTCAAGATCACCAGTGACTACCACATTGCTAAATTCAGTGGTAAATTCCCAGCCCTCATGATATTACACTTACACGTTTTCCTTACCTACTGACTGTTCCTCCTTGGCCTCTCTTGATGGTTTCTTTTTGTCTTCAAATTTCTAAGCATTGGAGTGTTCCAAGGCTCAGTTCTATTTGCCTTAATTCCTTGGGGATCTTAACTAGTCCCATGCTTTGAAACAGTTTCTACACTGATGACTTTGTCTTTAGTATGGACCCAGCCACTGAACTACAAGGTATACATCCAGCTGCTTAACTGACAAGTTTACTTGGACACCTAATAGGTATCGCAAAGCTAACGTGTGAAACTGAACTACAGATATTTCTTCTCCCCTCTAAGTATGTACTCCTCCTGCTGTTGCAATTGGTAAATTGCTCCTGTGTCCTACTGGTTCCTTGGTCTAAAAGCCTTGAAGTCATCTTTGGCCACTTTTTTTCTCTTATACTCCACAGTTTAACCCATCAACACATCTTGTCCTCCTCTGTAACCACCACCACCCTGGTCTAAGCCAGCATCATTGTTTTATCCGGTCTCCCCGATTCTGTTCTTGCCCACTACTCTGCACACCTGCCAGAGTGATCATTGAAAAACTTGTCGAATTGTTACCTTCCTCTGCTCAAAAGCATCCAATAGCTTTGTCTCACTGCAGGTAAAGTTCTTAAAATTGCACTGTATGATCTGGCCTCAGTTTTCACTGTCTTACTATGTATGTCCTTGCTCACTTGGCTCCAGTAACACTGACTTTTTTGCTGTTGCATGAATGTGGGATTCTCTTGGTTGGGGGCTTTCTGCTCTCTGTTCCCTGTCCGGAATTACCTTCTCCCAGATATCCTTGTGGCCTGTTCCCTCCTTTCCTTTGGATCTTTGCTCAAATTTCACCTTCTCAGTGAGCCACTCCCTAACCACCCTTTTTAAAATCTTAACCCCACGGTGAAACCCCATCTCTACTAAAAATACAAAAAAATTAGCCAGGCGTAGTGGCGGGCACGTGTAGCCCCAGCTACTCAGGAGGCTGAGGCAGGAGAATGGTGTGAACCCAGGAGGCGGAGCTTGCAGTGAGCCAAGATCACGCCACTGCACTCCAGCCTGGGCGACAGAGCGAGACTCCGTCTAAAAAAAAACAAAAATCTTACCCCCATTACTATTCCCTATTGCCTTTTTCTGCCTTATTTTTCTCCATAGCACTTATTACCATCTCATATACCATGTAATATTTTACTTATTTTCTTATTGTCCATCTCTCTCACTTGAATTGTAAGTTCCTTGAAGACAGAGCTTTTTGTCTGAGGTACACTGCTGCATTCCCAGTGCTTAGAATGTACCCGAGACATGGAAGGCCTTCAAAAATGAATAATTTAAAAATGGACAACAGAATGAATGGCATCGAGTAAGCATTCAGTAAGTGGTAGCTGTACTGTACTGTTATGCTTCTCTTGTTGGAGAGAGCCTAGGGTAATTTAGAAACACTGTGGATTGGGACCAGCTCTTTGGAGGGCTTAAAATGCCATGATAGGGGCTGGGCACGGTGGCTCACGCCTGTAATCCTAGCACTTTGGGAGGCCGAGGCGGGCGGATTACGAGATCAGGAGTTCGAGACCAGCATGGCCAACATGGTGAAACCCTGTCTCTACTAAAAATACAAAAAATTAGCTGGGTGTGTGGTGCGTGCCTGTAATCCCAGCTACTTGGGAGGCTGAGGCAGGAAAATTGCTTGAACCCAGGAGGCGGAGGTTGCAGTGAGCCGAGATGGCACCATTGCACTCCAGCCTGGGCGGCAGAGCAAGACTCTGTCTTGAGAAAAAAAAAAAAAATGACATGATAGGAACTTTGAAAGTCGTTTTGTATATAACTAGTATACCAAAGCTTTTAAATATACATTAGAGCTTCCTAAGTAGAAAAGTGAAGTCAGAGCTGTGTTTTAGAGGATGAAGCTGGTACATTAGACCTGATGAATTGAAAGGGGTGAGAGATCAGAAACAGAGAGAGCCATCAGGAGGATAGATGTTGCCACTGTCTAAGTGAGCGGAGAGGATGACCAGCCTTAGTGTAGGCAGTGGGAAAAGTAAGTGTTCTGAGAGTAGATGCCAGAGATACTGGAGGTGAAGGTAATGGGACCTGGGAATTGTATAGAAGAAGCGTGTCTATCAAAGATGGTGAAATTTCGTTACTGGCACATTTTTGAGGGAGGTCCTGTAGGAAAGGATGACATCGGGAGCACAGGTGGAAGCAAGGTTACCTCTAGTAAGAAGGGGTGGATGGAAACTTCTTTCTCTGCAAGGGTAGTTAAATATTCAGGGGCATTTTGAGAGGAGAGGAGGTTGGCAAGCTCCTGGAATAGAGTGTAGAGCTTGGAGTCCGGAGAAAAAGTGAAGAGCACTGTTAACGTGCACGGTTGAATAAGGGATTGATGAGAGATGAATGAAAGAAAAATTGAGCAGTAGTTAGGGCATCCGTCTAGTGTGGGCAGCATGGCTTTGTTGTGGAAGTTTCCTGAATTATACAGAGTCCCTTTTTTTCCTTCCAAAATGAATGGGAAAAAAATGGCCATAGCTTTGCATTCTATGAGCTGCCACTCTAAGGTGGTGTACAAAGAAAAGCTAAAGGCTTTATCTGGATTCCAGCTTTTAGAAATAGAACTTCAGGAATTATAGTAGTGATCTTTTTTTTTTTTAATGACTGAAGGTTAATGGTTACTTTTATATTTAGATATGCCCATACTGATATTAAGGTTGTTTTTTTTTTAATTTCTCCTTTTCCTCCTATTTTGTTGTTGGTTGATAGCGTTGGTTTGTCATCAAAGATCAAATGCTGATGGAAAGCTGTTGAATGATTTTGGAAAAGCTGTGTTCCCTCCAGATACGTTCTTGCCATGTTCTTCCCACATTAGGTGCTGTACCCCAGACCCCAAGGGATCTTACCCTGGGGAAGGATAGTTTCTGCTGAAACTGACACTTATTGGCAGCCAAGAGTGGTGTTGAAATACAGACTTACCAAGAAAAGCCATCACTGGAAATTGCCAGCTCCTTTTACATCAACCAACAAATGGCTATTTGTTAGAGATTAGCTACATTAAAGCATTAATAACCTGTCCTAGTTTGAACCGGCATCTTAAGGAGAATTGCTAGTTCATTTGGCATGTACATAATGTTAGGGGGTTTGTTTATTGTTAACAAAGTAAGATTTACTTAAATGTATTTTGTAAGAGCTTGGTAATGATTACTGAGATGATTATATTATGGATTTTTAGATTTTGTGCATTTTCCATCATCTCTTTTTGCTTCCTGGGTGCCTTTTAGTATCTTCTCCATGAGTTCTGCCTTTCCCTCATCTCCTTTGAAACGACTCATATAGCATATCTCCAGGAGGCCATCTTTGATTAATCTAACATAACATATTATTCCTTCATTCCTTTATTCTGACCCTTCAGCACCTTGAGTTCTCAACTCTGTCCCTTTATGGGCAGCATGATACAGAAAGCTTCAGGGTCTCCTATCCCCAAGGTAAACTAGAAAGAGCATAGCCAAAAGAAACAGCCAAACCTGGGTTCAGATCTAGGCTCTGTCACTCAGAGGGTATATACCTTCCCTGAGAGTCCAATGGTCTTATCTAAATATGATGAGAATAATTTCTATCCATAGAACTGTTGTGGGGATTAAATGAGATAAGGAAGATAGAGCACCTAGTGTAGTAAGTGCTCAGTAAATCATTGTTTCCTCCCCAGACCATATGTTAAACATTAATTTTGCTTAGACACATAGGTTTGTCTCAGCCCCTCAAAAGGGCTTTGAAAACTTGGAAACCATCTGGGATTCATCAAATGCTATGAATCAGTGAAGGTGCAGTTAAAACTGAGCTGTTGAATGTTTACATACTTCCTAAAACAAAAGGAAGCTGTAGAGCATAGGAATTGGGAGTATGAGCTTTGGCAACAGGAATCTGCATTCAGATGTAGCTCAGCTACTTACTAGCTATGTGGTCTTGGGCAAGTTATTTGGTCCCTCTGACCCTTATAGGATTGTTATAAAGATCAGATGAGACCAGATATGTTGAAGTGTTCAGCATAGTGAGAGCTCAATAAATGCTGATATTATAGCAGCAGCAGTAGCAGATTTTACTTCCTGAAGCCCCCTTTCAATGACCGAGAGTCCTTTCTTGGACTGTTAGGACCAGGTCCAACTATCTCAGTTTGTTTTTTACCTCGTGCTCTTTGATGTTATATATCTGCAATAGAACTGGATTTTCTAGGCTGTAAATTTGTTTATTTTTTAAGGATTTAGACCTTTTTTCGAGTATTAAGAGAAGATTTTCTCAGCAGCTAAGTTAGGATGACCATTGAATCTCAGTCTTTTTAGGGGCGATCCCTGAGTTGTAAGACACATAATAAAACCTTTTTTTCTATCTTGTTTCAGTGATTTAATACTATAGGCATACTATGCTTTAACAGTTTATTCCATCTCTTTTTTTTTTTGAGATGGAGTCTCACTCTTGTCACCCAGGTTGGAGTGCAATGGCACGAACTTGGCTCACTGCAACCTCTGCTCCTGGGTTCAAGCGATTCTCCTGCCTCAGCCTGCCGAGTAGCTGGAATTACAGGCACCTGCCACCATGCTCGGCTAATTTTTGTATTTTTAGTAGAGATGGGGTTTCACCATGTTGGCCAGGCTAGTCTTGAACTCCTGACCTCAGGTGATCCGCCCACCTCAGCCTCCCAAAGTGTTGGGATTACAGGTGTGAGCCAGCGCACCCGGCTTCTATTCCGTCTCTTTTATTAAGGCACAGATTATCTGATTAGCTATTATGACATAATTTGATCATCTTTTGAAATTCACATAATCTATTAATTTATTCAACAAGTATTTATTGATTTCCTATGTGTCAAGTACTCTTCAAGGACCTGTGCATATAGCAGTGATCAACACTGACAAGGGCTCTGCCCCCTTGAAGTTTTCATTCTATTGGACAAATACAGACAGAAAACACATACACATATAAGTAGTTTCAGATCAGTGCACTGTGAATAAAATGTGACTTCATTTTAGGGAGAGGCCAGCTTTAATTTGAGCTAATTCTTAATGAGAGGAGGAGCCAACTGTTAGAATCCTATTGTTATATTAATTGATTGCCTAAAACGTTGACTGCTGAAAATGTTGATTTCTTGGTGAATTTTTCCTTTTGCACTTGAAACCTCTCATTTGGACAAGGTAGACATGGCTGATTTAGCAATGAGATATTAGTCTTTGTTGTCCAGTCTTTTTTCCACTATTTTACTTTGATAATAAAATTAATATTTTAAAAGCTTTGTATTATTAAAATTGCATACACTTGATTTTAAAAAATTAGAAAAGATAGACAAACGAAACGAAGAACTACCCTACCAAAATTCCACTGTCCAGGTTAGGAGTTGGCAAATTATGGCCTGCAGACCAAATCTAGCCCATCACCTGTTTTTTTGTTTTGCGTTTTGTAAAATTTTTGTTGAAGTCTAGCCTGTAGTAAAGGGCGTAATTCCAGAGTGTACCACGTGATGAATGTTTACAAATGAGTACACCTCCAAGGTCAAGACACAGAATGTTGCCAGTACTCCAGAAGCCTCCCTCCTGCCCCCCTGCTATCACTATTCACTCCCAAAAGGAACCATTATTTCAAATCCTATCACCATAGCTTGATTTTATTTATTTTAGAAATTCATACAAATGGAACCATAGAACAATAACATTTACTCTTTTTTAGGTCTGGCTTTTTTTTGTTCAACAGCATAAGATTCATTCATATGGTTGCGTGTGGCAATAGTTTGTGTTTACTAGGCGAATACCCCAGAATTTATTCCTTGTGCATTTGATGTATCTTTGCATTGTTTCAATCTGGGAGCCTGATGAATAAAGTTGTTATGAATATTCTTATAGATGTCTTTTAGTGGACATTTCCATCGTACTTACTTCTACTGGACACGCACCCAGGGCTAGGTGATAAAGTGCAGGTTTTGGGTATGGATGTACTATTTTACATTTCCTTCCATATTACATGAGAGTTTTAGTTCCTCCACATTTTTGACAGTACTTGGTACTTGCCAGGTTTTTTTAAAAATCAGGTTAATTGATGTACAATTAACAATAAACAATAAAATCAACCCTTTTTAGATGTATAATTCTGTGAATTTAGACAAATGCATACAGTTGTGTAACTATCACCAGAAATCAAGATACAGACAGTTTCCATTACCCCAGAAAGTGTCCTCATGTCCCTCTATAGTCAGCCCCCTCAGGCCCTTTTAGCCACTAGTTTGATTTCTCTCCCTGTAGTTTTGCTTTCCTTAGGAAGTCATACACATGAAATGATACAGTATGTAGCTTTTTGAGCCTCCTTCTTTCACTGAAATTTATTCATGCTGTTGCATGGATCATGAAGTATTTTATTCTTTTTTGCTGCTGAATGGTTACCCCTTCACCAGTTGATGCACATTTGGGTTTTTTCCAGCTTTTGGCAAGTATGAATCTTAAAGCCACTATAAGCATTCACATACAGGTTTTTGTGTGGACGTAAGTTTTCATTTTTCTTCGGTAAATACCTAGGAATAGGATTGCTAGTTCATATAGTATGTGTATGTTTAGCTTTATGTGAAACTTCCAGACTGTTTTCTGAAAGTGGCTGCATCATTTTACAGTCTTTCTGGTATTATGTTGACCTTTCATTTGTTTCCCATCCTCACTAACACTGGGTATTGTCTTTTTTTTTTTTTTTTTAAATTTCAGCCATTTGTTCTAGTAGGTATGTGGCACTCATCATGATTTTAATGTGAATTTTCTGATGATTAATGAAGTGAAGCACTGTTTCATGTGTTTCTTGGCCATTTGGAGATCTTCTTTTATATAATGCCTACATGTGTCATTTGCTCATTTTTATATTGGATCGTCTAACCTTTTCTAGTTGAGCAGTAGGAGTTCTTTTTTTTATCTTTTCCTGTAATCCACTGTACCTTAGAAAGGAGTTCTTCATATAGTCTGTATATGAGTTGTTTGTCAGAGATATATGAGTTGCAAATATCTTCTCCTCCCTCTGTCTGCCACCTGTTTAAAATAATTTTATTGGAACATAGCCAACATTTGTTTATATATTATCTATGACTGCTTTTGCACTACAGGGGCAGAATTGGGTAGTTGTGATAGAGACCTACTGACCTGCAAAGCCTAAAATATTTAGTGTCTGATCTGTTACAGAAAGTTTGTTAACCCTTGATCTAGAGAACCGTATTCATTTTCTATTACTGCATAACAAATTGCCACAAATTTAGTAGCTTAAAACAATGCCCACATTTATTAGCCCACAGTTTCCATGGATAAGTAGGCTGAGGACAGCTTAGCTGGGTCCTCTGCATAGAGTCACACAAGGCTACAGTTAAGCTTTTGGCCAGGGCTGGGCTCTCATCTGGAGGCTTCAATGGGGAAGGATCCATGTCCAAGTTCATTCAGGTTGCTGGCAGAATTCATTTCCCTGTGGCCTTGGGAATGATAGCTTCCCTCTTTTACTGGCTATAGGCCAGAGCTGGCCCTCAGCTCCTAACGGCCAGTTCCCTGCCACGTGGCCCTCTCCATAGGAAGTCCACAACATAGCAGTGAGCTCATTCAGAGCCAGCAGGAGAGCAAGAATGAGTCTGCTAGCAAGGTAGAATCATTTAATGTAACAAAATGACAAGAGTGACATCTCATTATCTTTGCCATATTCTGTTAGCTAGAAGCAAGTCACAGGTTCTACTCACACTGGAAGGAAGGGGATGTACACCAGGAGGGTCACCTTAGAGTCTGTCACAGTTACTATTAGTAATATATTGGTGTCTTAAGTTTACAGATGTTTTTCTATGTTTATATAGTTGAATTCTGTTTTAAGCAAAAATGGCATCATACAGTTTCTTTTGTAACTGGCTTATATAATAATATCATGAATAATGTAACATGAACATTTTTTCATGTCAGTAAATCCAGATCCATATCATTTCTTATTGTGGCTTGTATCATACCTCACTATTTGAATATACCATAATTTATTTAATCAATTCCGTCTTGTTAAATATCAGGATTGCTTGTGGTTTATGTCACATTTTACCAGGCTGCCATAGAAGTATATGTGAGTGCCCATTTCCCCACACTGCCTCAGTGCTGGTTATAATTCTGTTGCAGTCAGTGGCTCTTGACAAAAATGTATATGTGAAACTGAACACCTCCTATTCTCCTTCCTTCTCCTGTGTATCTGTTTTAGATAAGAAGGCTGACTGCACAATCACAATGGCTGACTCAGACTTCCTGGCTTTAATGACTGGTAAAATGAATCCTCAGTCGGTAAGTATGATGGAGCTTATATCCTGCTAGTAGGTAGGTCTTTCAGCCCTTTCTACTCCATCTCCTGACTCAGACTCTAAAGTGCAAAGTGGTCAGACTCACAAAACTCAGTGTTCCCCAAACAGTTGACAGACGTCTGTGGAGCAAGCTGTGTGCCACACACTGTCTTGTGTGCTGGAAGTGCCCAGAAGAGTAAGAAAGTTCCCACGCTCAGGGCATCCACAGATGTGTAAAAGAGTCAGTGCAGCCAGAGATCCAAGGTGCCACACCTGGCTTGTGGTCAGGGGAGGATGAAGGCAGGAGCAGCCATATCTCTCTGGGCCATCAGGGAGAGCACCACAGAGGAAGCAGCTCTTGAGCTTAGTACCCAGGCGGAAAGTAGGAGTGTTCCAGGAGGAGGGAGGGGTGGCATGAACAAAGGCCTGACCTTTTACATTCCATTTATTTGCCCATGCTCTTCTTTTTGCCTGACCTGTCCTTACCTGACAAATGACTTGTCTTTCAAAATTAGCTCAGATATTATCTCCAAGGACCTCTTTCCAAGTTGCTGGGGAGCTGTAACCAGTCCCTCTCCTGAGCCACGTACTGGACTGCCAGCTTAGTGCCTGTTGTGTTATGTTAGTCATAATATGCCTCTCTCTCTTCCCTGTTAGGCTGTGAGTGTCTCAAAGCATCAAAGCACATCTTATTTGTCTTTATGTTTCCAGAATTTAGCACAGTATCTGATGTTTTTAGGTATTCTGTAAACAACTGTTGGACTAAATTGCATTTGTCTAAAGTGTGTTTATGCCTTGTATAGATTTTCCTAGTCCCCAAATTGTCAAGGGTCCTCTTAGGCTCTTCAGCTGCAGTGTTGAATGGACTTGATATAGTGAGCTTTCTGTCAACTTGATATATACTGAGCTTTCCATTAATAAAAAAGAAACTAAGACGTTTCTTTCCAATGTAACTTAATTTTTTCTGTTGTCTCAGTCTGGTTTGTTTTAGGTTTTATTCCTGTGGTTCTCTGGTAATTTCCAAGATTGGATAAAACAACTAAATCTCACTCCCACTTGCTTTTTTAAAATGCTTTTTCTACGTAACCAAGCACATTTTAGTTGATGCCATGACAAGTGAGAAATTTGCATCTGTGATGTTTCAGCTGAATACACACCATTGGCACTGACATTTCCACTGAGCCTGCTCCAGAAATCTGGACAGAACAGAGGCCACCAGTATAGGAGCTGGCTGTCATCCTCCTTCCCACCCACTGCACATGCCATGCACAGCTTTGGCAGGCTGTTCAGACTTCACACATCAGCTGCCTTCATTCTCTCAATTTATCTTTGTACTGCCCATTTTGGGGGCAAGGTGTCAGCTTATTTTCCTTCAGCACCTGTTAACACCCAAAGGAATTAAAGATAAAAATAGCAGACCTTTCTATTAATGTGCTAATGGACTTCCCTTATGCTCAGAGGATTTCCAGAGGATTTGACTGGAAATCGTTAAATGCAGTGGAAATTCTAATTTCAGTGTTTGGCTCCAGCAGCAAGCGTACATGAAGAACACCTAGGGGCCAGATTAAAATCATCTTTATGTATGGACTCTCTGAAGGGTGAAGATTCATGTTTTCTCTATTGTTAGTAAATAAAAAGTGATTTTCTTTGTTAACTTACAAAGGAGAAAGGTGGCGAGTTTCTCCTGTACTACTGGTCCGTATTTTTAAATGATGTTTGTTCAATATATTGTGTTCTGAGACACCTGACCTTTAAGGCATCAGACAGAAGGCTTTGTGCCATATAGAAAGGAAATATTTAGTTTGTCCAGACAGAGGAAGGGGAAAAAAAGGAATTAGTCACCCTTACCAGGAGGTACAGAAAAAAACAGAGCTCCTTACATTCCCATGGATGATGTAGAAGAGCTCCTAGCTTCTTAATGTACTGTTAAAAACCTAGGACTACCAGAAGCTTTTTTTTTAAATCTAGCCCTTCCTTATTTTAAGCATTCAGTTAAAATACTGAGATCATGGCAGGGAAATTATGCTACGTTCCCAATTTTGCTGTTTCTCTTAAGTTTTCCTGGGATTTTGTTACATGGTAAATTTAGCAAACATCATGTGATCTAATCCCAGGCAGTTGTTAAATGGAACAAATTGTGGCTCTGCACTTCAGATTGGTTTGATTTTTCTTGTTGAGCCAAAGAGTAACACAAGCACCTCATTCTCAGCAGGCTCTGTGCCCTCTGTAGGGATAAGTCCTTTATCATTGGTGGCATTTCATTCACATGCATGTTGGATTGAATCCCAAGAGTTTCTGTGTTTTTTGTGTATGCTTTTTCTCTCAGCAGCCTGCTAAAAATTTCAGTTCATATTTCCCACCTACATGGAATGTTTTAAAACATAATCAGTGTAGTATGAACCCACTTTGAGGAGGACAGGTGAAAACAGGCTCAATTTCTATGAGAAATTTGGGAAAGCTGCTCCTTTCTGCTGATCTGCAAAAAGTGTGGCCTTTACAAATTCTTCCTTTTGAAGAATGTGGTTCCAAATCTATTCCAGAAAGCCAAGTTTCATATTTTAGAGAAAGTCATGTGACCTGGATAAATAAATGATCTCAGGGCTAGATAGTGTAGAAACATCAGCAATCTTAAAACAAAAAAACACCAAGTAATGAATTTTCTTTCTTCTTCACAGGCCTTCTTTCAAGGCAAATTGAAAATCACTGGCAACATGGGTCTCGCTATGAAGTTACAAAATCTTCAGCTTCAGCCAGGCAACGCTAAGCTCTGAAGAACTCCCTTTGGCTACTTTTGAAAATCAAGATGAGATATATAGATATATATCCATACATTTTATTGTCAGAATTTAGACTGAAACTACACATTGGCAAATAGCGTGGGATAGATTTGTTTCTTAATGGGTGTGACCAATCCTGTTTTTCCTATGCTCTGGGTGAATAGAGCCTGATGGTATACTACTGCTTTGCGGAATTGCATACAACTGTGCATTACAAAGTTAATATGGTAATTATGGTCTGGGGTAAAATTGAGTTTCAGAATAAAATTAGGAACAGTAAAATCCAAAGAACTATGTAAACAAAAAAGCTTTTGTTTTGCTTACAAAGTATATTTAAGGATTATTCTGCTGAAGATTCAGTTTAAGAGTTTTCCTTGGGAGAACTAAGTAAGAAACACAATGCCAACAGCTGGCCAGTAATTAGTGTTGTGCACTTCATGTCATTAATCAATTTCTCAATAGTTCTTAAAATTAGTGAGATTAAAAATCTAAAAATTTTGCATTTCATGCTATCAGAAACAGTATTTTCTTCCCAAATCAAAATAAAAGAAATATGATCAGAGCTTGAACACAGGCTTATTTTTAAAATAAAAATATTTTTAACATGGGTTTCCTTATTGAAAAATCAGTGTATTAGTCATAAAACACCATCATTAAGAATAATTGAACAATAAAGTTTGCTTTCAGATGCAGTTTTCAAATTATAATCTCATTTCAATTTATAACGTTCTCAGTCCTTTGTTATAATTTTCCTTTTTCATGTAAGTTTAATTATCTGCATTTATCTTTTTTCCTAGTTTTTCTAATACTAATGTTATTTCTTAAAATTCAGTGAGATATAGGATAAAATAATGCTTTGAGAAGAATGTTTAATAGAAAATTAAAATAACTTTTTCTGGCCTCTCTTGTTTTTACTGTGTATGTTCTTGCTCAGGGCTCTCTAGATAATGCAGAATAAAGAGAAACGTTGGGGGATTTATAAACTGAATGTTATCTGGACATAATCACTAGTTTTTGATTGGGGAGGCAGTGTGGTATAATAGAAAGAGCACTTGACTGGGAGCCAAGAGACTTGCTTCTCTTAGGCAGATAACTGCCTGCCTGGACCTGTTTGCTAAACTATTAGGAGATTTAAGTAGATGATCCCAAAGGTCCCTTCTGCTCAGAATCCTGTGAGTTTCCTCAGAGCACAGTAGAATGGTTTGGGAATTACCCAGGCCCCACCTTTCTGTTGTTTACTCATTACTTCACCCATAGGTGGTCAGAGGTAGACAACCAGCTGGTATCATTTGTTTAGGTGTTTGGAGCCCTTGCTGATATAGTCAGGACTATGGATCAGATCTCCTAAGACCATTTAGCTTTGCATGTTTTGTGACCAGCAGAACAGCATTTGGTGATAGGGCAAGAGGATACATTAAGCCAATAGAAGTTGATCCCAAGTTCCATAAAATGAATTCAGAACACAGACCTACTTCCTAATCATAGTAGCTTCTTACTCTGAGAAGAAAAAGACTTCAAGAAAAGAGTTTCAACAAAATGTCTGATTTCTCTGTAGTTTGGATTTGCTGCATCATTCTTTCCTCACTTGTCCCAGATAACAAGAGATACCTGAAATAGGCTTTAGGATGAACCTCAAAAACTAAAAGGAAAAACAAAAACTGGTTCTTACAGTAGGATTATATTCATATATGATGTAATTTGTGTGCATGATAGAAAAGTACTTAGTGATAAAATAGTTTGATTTTTTTCCCCCTTCTGGTATTATAGTTTGGAGGAAGGAGATTAAGTTTTAATTTGAGTTAAAACTGCCATTACTAGTTGTGCTAGTTGAAGAGATCAAGTCTTAGTTGCCCGATTGATAAAGTGGAGATACTAATATCGGCTTCCTAGGATTATGAGAAGCTGGAGAGATAACATGTAAAGTACCTATAGCAGTTGCTAGTTTAGGGTAGTCATTCAGTAAATGTGAGTTCCCTTGCTCTTCTCACCATTAGCAGCACCACTTGCTCCTGTGATATATGATAATGATGTTTGTAGTGTTATGTCCCACTTTTGGAGTCTTTCGTTTGTTCATTTAACGAGTATTTATTGAGTGCCTACCATGTACAGAGCACTATATAGAAGGCATAATCTCACTGGAGATACTAGTCAGCTCTTTTTCTCAAGGTGCTTACATTCTAATGGGTGAGACAGTCAGTCAAAGAGACAATTATTATTGACTATGAAGTGCCCAGCAGGAAATGGTTAGGGTGCTCTGATAAGCAGTCATAGCGAGGGACCTTGATAAAGTAGTTAAAAGAGATGTCTTTGAGGAAGTAATTTTTAAGCTGAGATCTGAAGGTTAAGAAGGAGCAAACCATGCAAAGAACATTGCATGAAAGGGTGGAAACAGGCTTGATTTGTTCCAAAAATTGCAAGGGGGCCAGTGTGAGTGGAATAGTGAGCAGGAAGGATAGGCCCGAGATAAGATCGGATAGATACACAGAAGCTAGTTTTATTGGGATTTGTTCATTACGGTAAGGCTTTTTTTGTATTTCATTCTTAGTAAAGTCAGGAGCTGTTGACAATATAGCTTTACAGATGTTTATTTCTTACTTAGGCTACATATTCATCTTGCCATCATATCCTAGGTCTGGAACCCAGACTAACGGAGTAGCCACTACCTGGAACATCATGACCATCATGGCAGATGAAGAGAAAAAGGTGAAGTGCATGTTGGCTCTTAAAGCTTCTGCCTGAAGTGATACATACCACTTTTGCTCCCATCTCCTTGACCAAAGAAGGTCACATGCCCCACCTAACTTCAGAAACCTAACATGTACCAGAAGGAGAAAGCAGAGTGGGAATATTCGTGAAGAGAACTGATGACCACCAGAAGGGCTGCAAACGGGAATGAAATAATTTAAACTACCGCTGTAGCTGGTGTGTGGAGAATGTACTGGTGGCAGAGGGCTGGAGAATGGCTGTCTGGGTGCAAGAAAATGGCGTCCTGGACTAGGGTGTCAGTAGTAAGAGATAGATGTGGAAAAACAGGCAGAGGTAGAGCTGACAGAACTTGGTAACTGAATGTCAGGGGCAGGGCGGAGCGGGGTGGGGGAGCGGGTGGCAAGAATGACTTCTAGTGACGGGCCAGCCGAATGGTGGATCGTGACTGGACTGGCAGTGACACAAGCAGGTTTCAGGGGCAGTAGTTAAAATAAGTTCTGCTTTTGAAATTTTAACTTGGAGATGCCTGAGAGGTTTGCAAATAGAGATTAAGGAGAGGGTTGGATTTGATGAGCTTAGAGGTGAGGTCAGCTTGGAGATACACACTTAGAAGTCATGAATATATGGTTTGAATTTAAAGCTACAGGAATGGATATTACCTGGGTTGGGGAAAAGGAAGGTTAGGGTAATCCTTGAGGAACTTCAGTTTTTTGAGGTCTGGTAGAGGAGGACAAGGGGCCAGAGAGGTAGAGGGAGAACTCCAAGAAGAGATGGCCAAAATGGGAATGGTCAACTATGTCACTTGAACTCAATAGAGAGGTCAAGTAGGATGATCTCTGAAAAGTGTCTACTGGGTTAAATTTGGCAACGCGAAAGTCACTGGTGACCACTGCAAAATCAGTTTCAAAACAAAACAAAAAAAAAAAACAGTGGAGCAGTAGGGATAAAAGCTATATTGGAATTGGTTTCATAAAGTTTTATGAAAAATAGGAACAGAAGAGTTCCATTTGGTAGTGATATGCTCAGTTTCCAAGTGATGAATATAGAGCAAGCACATTAGCTAATACAGGTCTAAGCTAGGTCATCTTGCACATGCTGTTCTCTGTGCCTGCCCTCACTATTTTCCCCCTCCCCACTCTTGCCCCCCACCACACAGTTCACTTGGCAAATTCTCTTCACCCTTCAAGACCTACTTAGGTACCTTTGCTTTCAGGAAGCTGTCCTGGTTTGTTACACAGTAGAGCTAATCATTCCTTCCTGGTCATTTGTTTCTCTCTCCCACCCAGTAGAGAGGTTCTTAAAGGAAAGGACTGCCTCTCATGCATCCATTTTGAGATCTCCAGCATAGTCTTGGCTTATTGTTGTTAAATGAATGAAGGAGATAGGCGAGTAACAATTTTATATTCACAGAGGGAACATTTCTGAGGATGAGAGCCTAGTCACAGAATTGCATTCTCCGTTACAAAGACTTTTTGTAGCCCTGATGATGAAAGAGAACATTAAAAATTTTTCCCTTAGCCTAACTTTTCCTAATTTTTCTTTGAAAATATTTGCAGCTTCCCATAACGATCTTTCAACTTCAGACTGAAACATTTGGAAGTAGTAAGAAAAATCTGTTTATTAATGGTCTTTTTATGTTTTTGAAAACAAAGTGGTGGCTGGGTGTGGTGGCTCATGCCTGTAATCCCAGCACTTTGGGAGCCTGAGGTAGGCTGATCACATGAGGCCAAGAGTTCAAGACCAGCCTGGCCAACATGGTGAAACCCCATCTTTACTAAAAATTTAAAAATTAACCGGGTGTGGTGGCGCACGCCTGTAATCCCAGCTACTCGGGAGGCTGAGGCATGAGAATCTCTTGAGCCAGGAGATCACTGCCACTGCACTCCAGCCTGGGCGACAGAGTGAGACCCTGTCTTAAATAAATAAATAAATAAAAAGTTGCCTGGTGGGTTCTTTCTGCATTAAAATCATTAGTCTTGTTGCTGTACTTTTTCAGATGAATTCACACTCTCGGATTTCTACAATTTTTGTTGGATGTGTAGAGGAAAAATAATGGAAAGCATTGCTAGCATGTCAAGTCCATGTAGAGGTGGGGGTATGACAAAGGAGTCACTGAGGAATTTCAGGTCAAAAAGTCCTGTCTCTGCCTCCTGGAAGCTAAGTTAGGGTAAGGCATTTAAGCCTCACCAGCATTTAGTTTTAGTTTCTGCCTCTGCAAAGGAGGGACACTGTTGAATTTTTTTTTTTTTTTACAGTCAGTCTCATTAGACTGTATACATCTTGAATGCAGTAACTCTGTTACTCATCTCTGTGTCTCTAGTATTAATGCAGTGTCCACCAGAGCAGCATCAATAACTGTTTCTCGGACAAATAAGGGTTAGACAATGATCATTAATGGTATTTTTAAATTGTAAAATACTTTGTGAAAGGGTCAATCACATATAAATATAAGTTCCCTCTGTTTTCCCCACATATGTCATCTTAGAAAAAAAATGAAATTAAATCCTACAATTAACAGCTTTATCTTCTGAAACTTTAGCAGTCTCAGAAAACAGTACATTTGGCTGGGCACAGTGGCTCACACCTGTAATCCCAGCACTTTGGGAGGCTGAGGCGGGCGGATCACCTGAGGTCAGGAGATCGAGTGCATCCTGGCTAACATCGTGAAACCCCGTCTCTACTAAAAATACAAAAAATTCGCCAGGTGTGGTGGCACGTGCCTGTAGTCCCAGCTACTTGGGAGGCTGAGGCAGGAGAATCACTTGTACCCGGAAGGTGGAGGTTGCAGTGAGCCGAGATCATGCCACTGCACTCCAACTTGGGCAACAGAGCAAGATGCTGTCTGAAAAGAAAGAAAGAAAGAAAATAGTACATTTAGAACAGCCTGGTATAATGGGAAAACTTTGGGGCCCATCAGATGTGAGTTTTGTTTCTACCTTTGGCACTTACACAACTTTGGGACCACCTTGAGCTAATAACAAGGAAAGACTCTGAGACTTTCTCCCTCTGTGAAAAGGGACTCATAATGTCTGCCTTCCTGGTTGTTAGGAAGATGAGCAATTGCAGTTGTAATATGTCAAGCACATAGTAGGTACTGAGTAGATGCTGCAAAATGTTATTTAAGGAATTTTTTAACATGAAATTTATTCATTGGAACATTTTGTGATAATCTTTTTTTTTTTTGAGACAGAGTCTTGCTCTGTCACCCAGGCTGGAGTGCAGTGGTGCAATCACTGCTCACTGCAACCTCCGCCTCCCTGGTTCAAGCAATTCCCCTGCCTCAGCCTCCCAAGTAGCTGGGACTACAGGCGTGCACCACCACACTCAGCTAATTTTTTGTATTTTTTTAGTAGAGATGGGGTTTCACCATGTTGGCCAGGATGTTCTCGATTTCCTGACCTTGTGATCCTCCCACCTTCTGCCTCCCCAAAGTGCTGGGATTACAGGCGTGAGCCACCATGCCTGGCCCATGATAATCATTTGAGTTCACATAATCAGCTGGCTTCAGAATGAGGACAATTTGCTTTTATTAACTGTTTACATCCTTATGTTTTCCTCAAGAACCATTAAAATTTAATGGTCTCTATACTTAAGTGAATGGATATAGAATTATTTAGTTTGACTTTCAGAAGGTTTGCATTTTAGCCGAAGATTTAATTCTAGCTGCCCATGCCATGATTACTTTTTGAACAGAAAGAAGTCACTTGATGTTATTGACTAGGAAAAAAAATGGTAATCAGCCAGATGGTACCTCTGGGCAAATTACTCTGTGGGAGTAAGCTTGTTTAGAAACCACACTGATATGAATTAGGAATGTTGAGTATGGTACTAAACAGCTAATGAGGGGCCTGAAAGATTTATGAGCTATTAGGAACCACAGCCATATCTGGCCAAATTTTAGAGTTTTTCTCAATAGAGAGTTACAAAATCTTCTGGAACAGTCTCGTATTATATCTATCTGGAGACTGCTGCGAACAAACAGCTCTTTAGTTCTTGGTAAGAACAAAGAATATTGGGCCAGATTTCTGGCCCCTAAGAAATGTGGAGTCTGTTCCATTTGGCTGGAAGTTTAGTTTGGTATGGAATTTTAGCCAGACTTCTAGGGGAAATAATTTTTTAAAAATGTAATGAAAGCTTATTGCAAAAAGTCATGTGCATTTGGTCTATCTATTCTATTAATGGTCATTTAAACACTTTGTAAATATTCACAGTACTGTTTCCAGCAGCATGTAGTAAGTGCTTGACCTTTTTGTTTCTGAATTTATGGCCATAAACTTTTATGTAGAACTGGGGGAAATTGTAGTCTGCTGTTTATTTAAATTGCAGATAGTTGTCTAACCAACTACCAAACAGTGATTTTTTTTCTCTCTCTGGAAGTTGTTGTGTGATTCACCTTTTAGAATATGGCACCTTCTGTTGTGTACAGAGCACTCTGTTCAAGATTAGACACTTTATTAGAACAGAAATAGAAAATAACTTGACACGAAGACACAGTAGTATAGGAACAATTGACTAGGCAGGCTGAAAGAAGACTTAAGCTTGGCAAAATGATACCCAAACGCAGGGTGTGATATCAGTTCACGAATATTCGAGAGATGGAAAGACCAAAGAGGGAGAGGAATTATTTTGCTTAGTTATTAGAAGTAAGGGGAAGGAATATAGAAAGAGAAATTTCAGACTGAATACCATTGAATTTCCAGACAATAAAAATCGGTCATGAGTGGACTAGAAGCTCCAACCACAGAGATGCTTCTAGACCCACAAGGCAAAAACAGGGCATTTCATTGTGGGAGATGTACCTTAATAGTGGCTGAAAGATCATCTGAACAGGAGAAAGTGGTATTTCATTGACAGCCGCTCTTGAGGGTTTCTCCGTTTGCAGTTACCAAAATCTTTTTTTCTTCTATATGCTAGAAAGAAGACTTGAGATCTTTTTGCTTACTTGTTTATACCCTGACTGGTTCATAACTTAATTTGGAAGAAACATGACATACCTTTGGAAGAAACAGTCTTCAAAAGAAATGAGAATTCAAAAGCTTCAAGTTTTTGTAGTATGAAAGTAGTCTGAATTTGTTTTTTGTCTTTTTTTCATCCATTTTTATTTAGCTTAAGGTAACAGCTAGTTGGCTGGCTACAGTGTGGGAGACAACTCTCACTGGAGTTGGAACCTGAAGACTGAGTTTGAATTCTGACTCAAGCACTCATTAGCTGGGTCACCTGAGCAAGTTGCATATCCTCCCTGAGCACCCCTTTTCCAAAATAATGGGGCAATAATACCATCATGTTTGCTGTGAAGATCAAGTGAAACAGTGTGTGGGAAAGTGTGTACCAGTTTTAGTTATTCATGTTTGTTTTATTTTCTATTGTTGATGAAACAAATGATCACAAAGTAGTGATCATAAATTTATTATCTAACGGTTCTGTAGCCTAGAAGTCTGGTTGAGTTTGACTGGTTTCTTTGCTCTGGGTCTCACAAGGCTGAAGTCAAAGTATTGCTGCCCTGGGCTCCTATCTAGAGGCTCCAGGGGAGAAGGTGGCTCTGCTCCCACATTCATTCAGATGCTGGCAGAATTCTGTTTCATGCCGCTGTAGGACTGAAGTCCCTGTACCATTCCTGGCAGCCTACGGGTGTTTCACTTTCTAGAGGCTGCCTTATTCCCTAGCTTATGACCCTCTTCATCTTTAAAGCTAGTCAAGTCCTTCTGATGTTTCAAATCTCTCTGACCTCCTCTTCTGCTTCATCTTCTCTCTCTCCAGCTAGAGAAAGTTCTCTGTTTTTTAGGGCTCATGTGATTAGGCCCACCAGGGTAATCCAGAATATGCTCCCTATTTTGAAGTCCGTAACCTTAGTTACATCTGCAAAGTCACTTTCATCATGTAACATATCCAAAGGTTTTAGGGATTAAGGTGTGGATATCTTTGGGGCGGGGTTGGGGGGTATTCTGCCTATCACAGTGGTATTTTAGGGTGAGAGAGGAGAGCTTGCAGAACATGAGATTCTTGCCCTGGAGGACTCACAATCCAGTGGGAGAAAGAGGAAAAACAGCAAGAAAGTTCCAATAATAAAGAGTCTGTATGAGATGTTATAGCAGCCCAGGAGACTCCTTGTGTACTTGACTTGGACTGAAGATTTTTCATTATTCTCTTCTTGTTCCCTGGAGAGTCTTGCCTTCATCAAGGTCCTTCAGATGGAATTCATATACCCCAAACACCACCATGTGATTTGATTCCTTAAATGTCCAGAAAATCAAGCTGCTGCCATAGCTATTTGGGACTCTACTGCTTAATAAGATCTCAGCCCTCAGCTCAAAGTAGGAGGAATTATTTTCTTCTTTGATGATGAGGCATAACAAGAGCTCATTGTTCCTCATCTCCTGTTTCTCATCATCAAACCCCACTGAGAGCCTTCTTGTTCTTTACTCCTAGCTCTCTCTACCGTATCAATGTATGTCTTTCCTCCCTCCTCTTTGGAGTGTTCTTGTTTCTTATTGTTTTGAATTAGAAGGCACTTTCCCTGGGCAGTACAGAGGTTACTGTTTAATTCTTGCCACTTGTCATTTCTATTTTAATAATGTTTCCTGGCTATTTGGTCAGGTCTGGGTGATAGTTTTGCAGTAATAGCTACCATTTACTGAGCACTTACCATGTGACAGGTACTATGTAAAGTTCTGTACTTGCATTCTCCAATTTAGACATACTGTGAAGTGTAGGTACTATTTTTATATTCATTTGAACCTAGCTAGGATTTGAACCCAGCTCCAAGCTTAAAGCTTGTACTTGACACTATGTACTTCAGTAATATCAAACAGGAGCTGAAATTGAGGGGCAGCATGAAGGAATTGAAGCAGCACAAGTAGATTCAGGAAACCTCAATTTCAAACTCTGCCTTTACAATCCTTCTGAAAGAGGATTTGCTTCTAGAGCACCAAGGTTGCCTCCATTTTTCCACCAGAGACACTCAAAGTGATTCCTCCTGCAGCTTGTATCTATAGTAGCAGCCAACCACAAAGCACACATGGGCATTTGCTCAGCATTCCATAGAAAAGCCTATTTCTCTGGGAGGTGGTGGGTACTGGGTGTGTGGTGTGCCGTGTAGCGGGCCCCTGAAACACCTTGGCCTTAGCAGTTATAAGTATAGAGAATATCTTCCCCACAGGGCTAGGATGATTAAGATATTTTAAGGATTTAGGATGGTGCCTGTCATTTATTAGGCACTCAATATGTGCTGGCTCTCATTGTCCTAAAAGATTTTTAGTCCATGAGTATTCAAGCTAGTAGAATCCTGTCCTTTTAGCTCTACTTGAATCTAGGCTCAATGTTCAGGAGAAGACACGAGATGCATCTCTGTTGGTCCAGGTCCAATGCTGTGAATCACACCAACTCTTGTGAGTTTGAGCTCCAAAAGGACTGGAATTTGAGGCCAAAGAAGGCAAAATATTTTCCCTCCCCATTCTTGCTAAGTTCTTGGGTTGTTGGTGTAATGGAAACAGACAGTCCTGGGTTCAAATCTAGACTCTACATTTGCCTGCTCAAGTTACCTGCCTGTTTCCATCATGGGAAGAACTTGGGCTGTGGAGAAGGGTAAACCTGGGGTCAAAACCCCAGCTCTGCCAGTGAATGGGCATTTTACTCAGTCAAGTATCCTTTCTGAGGCCATCTCTTTTCTATAAAGTGGGGCAGCAGCAGTTCTTCCTTTGCGGAGTTGTGAAGCAGAGCATAATGCATATGGTATAACCTCACGGGGGCGGCAGCCAGTGAAAAGTCTGGAGCTGCTTTACAGGGGCCATTCATTCATTCATTCATTCAGGTTAAGGTTGAGCAAGGGGTCCCACGTGTGACTTATGCATCCTTCTCCCTCTTCAGTGGGAGGACAGCCAGGTGAGGCAGCTGTGGATGCCCTGCCCACAGGCCAGAGCAGGTAAGGGGAGGAGGCTTGCTACACAGTGGAGGTGCCAAGTACCACCTAAGCCCAGCCGCATTGCCTGTTCCACCGCCGAAGCCCCTGGCGCCAAACAGTGTTGCTTCAGCTGGTAGTAGTTAATACTCCTTTACTTGGAAACATTTTCAGTTCCTGGGAGCAATATGGTGGTGTGAGGTCTCACTGTTCACCCGCCCTGTTTCTCTGTGACTGGGATCTGCATGTCCCCGACTCCGGCCCAATTTACCATTCTTCAAGGCTCACCAGGCTGTGGGCCCAGGGCCAACAGGGATGGGAGTGGAGGGTGGGGTGGAGCGTGGGGAACTTTTCCGGGAAGAGGCCCAGCAGGGTCTTGGCTGGCGGCCCCATTAGCCACGGCCCAGGACCCCAGGGTGGGAGAGTGAACGGAAAGGTACTCGTGCCTGGAGCGGTTGCAACATCCTCTGTAATGAGGAAGATACAGCTCAGAGGCACTGGGTCGAAGGACCCCTCTCCCCAGCCCTCCTTTCAGGTGTCGGGGCCTAAAGGGGGTCCAGTTCCAGTGCGGAAGGCTGGGAACTAGGAAGCGTCGCGGACCAGACAGCCCGCCTTCCCGGTCTCCCGGGTGGGGGTTCGGGGGGCGTGGTGCGGCGGCCGGGGCTGAGAGGGGTCGGTGCGGCGGCTCTGCCTCCCCGGGAAGTGGGAACCGGCCAAGTCCCGAGCGGGGAGGGGCAGGCTTTCTCCTGCCCGCGCCTGGGGGGACCCTACGCCTGTGTCCGAAGGAGGCCGGCGTCCAGCAGATGCTCCCGGGGCGGGTGGGGAGTGGGGGAAGGGGGCGGGAGAGAGGCGGGGAGGAGAAAACCCACAACAAAACTTGCGTCGCGGAGAGCGCCCAGCTTGACTTGAATGGAAGGAGCCCGAGCCCGCGGAGCGCAGCTGAGACTGGGGGAGCGCGTTCGGCCTGTGGGGCGCCGCTCGGCGCCGGGGCGCAGCAGGTACAGGGCGCTGGCAGCCGGGGTGGGCCGAGGGGCCGGGGGCTGAGCCCGGGCAGCGCACTCAGACGTCCCCGCCTCTCCGGATGGCTCCAGCAGCTGCCTGGGGCGGGCCCGCCGCATCTCACCCCCTCTGTAGGACCCTGCACCCAGGGCACGGCCGGAGATCTCCTCCTCTGGAGTGCGACCCCTGCGCAGTCAGGACCCAGGCAGGGGCCTTCTCCTCTCTGAGCAGAGGCTGGTCCCCGTCCCCAGGCCCCTCCCGCTGCGCACATCTGGAAAGAATCTGAGGGCGGTTGGGGGCGGGGGCTGGAGTGGGAGGACGCCGGCGGGCGACAGGGAATGTGGGGGGCAGGTGGAACTGCGTAGGGGCGGGGACCCCTGTCATGAGAGCCTGGGCCCGAAGTATCCCCGCGTCTTTCCACGTCAACTCATCAGGCCCCCTAGCGACTCCAACCTCCACCTCTTTATAGATAGAGAAACTGAGGCCCAGAGAGGGGCAGAGGTCTGGCCCCAGGGCGCGTCGGACGCCGGGTGGGTCCCCTCCGGGGCTCGGCTTCCCCGGCCACTGTGCCGCCCCAGCTTAGTGCCAACCACTAGTTGAGCTAAAGGTCTCAGCTGGCGGTCTGGAGTCCGTCTATCTGTCTACGCGGCTGCTTCCCAGCCGGGACAGCTGGAGGGAGGAAGGGGTGGGGGTCCGCGAAGCGCGAGGAGCGAGATCCGCGCCTTCCTGCGAATGAGGCAGAAGCCCCAGGTTCCAGGTCCCCGAGCCACAGCCCGGCCTGGGGCGGGGGACGAGATCTTGGCGTTGGAATACCTGACGCTCCGTCAGGTGGAAGAGGAGGTGGTGGCGGGGCTGCGAGGCTCCTGGCAGCCTCGGGGGCTGGGGCTAGGAGAGGCAGCCGCAGCCTTTTGGAGAGGAGCAGGCGCGGCAGCAAGGGGCGAGCACCCCGGCCCCGGTGCGCGCGGCACTGACTGAGCTGGTCCGGGAGGCGCGGAGGATGCTCACCCAGCGCTTGGAGTGAATTACTGACCTGTCTGCCCTTCGATTACCGGCTGGCCAGGGAAGGGGAAGCTGTGGTCTGCCCTGCTCCACGAGGCGCCACTGGTGTGAACCGGGAGAGCCCCTGGGTGGTCCCGTCCCCTATCCCTCCTTTATATAGAAACCTTCCACACTGGGAAGGCAGCGGCGAGGCAGGAGGGCTCATGGTGAGCAAGGAGGCCGGCTGATCTGCAGGCGCACAGCATTCCGAGGTAGGTCACTCAGAAGAGCCCGTGGACTGCCCTGGGAAAGACCAGGGGGGACTGCTCTGGGGGTTCTGCTCCCTCATGTCCACTCTTAGGGCCCAAGACCCAGTCTACTCTAGCCTAGAGTGCAAGTTAAGAAATGTCAGAGTCACACGACTGTTTTCATGTCATCTGTGGGAGCACACTTTATCCCTTCTGTCTGAGTCTAGGATAGGGGATTACTAATGGTGGCACTTTTAGGCTTGGTGTAGTCATACATGCGAGTGCTGGCCGTGTCCTGCTTGGAACCCTTAATGAGTCCCTATCACCAACACTAGCATGGCGGTGGAGGCCCTTGGCCACCCAGGCCTCCCGCCCTGTTGACCCTTCCTTAAACACACGTCCCTCTCCTCTAGCCCCACCCCTACCTTTTGATCACACTCTACCTCTGCCTGGAGGGCTGTTTCTCCCACTCCGTCCACTTGGAGAACTCCCGCTCAGTCTTCAAGGCCAACTCAAGGCTCTGGGCAGGAGTCAGAAGACCCACATTTTACTCTTGGCCTTGGCTTTAACACACTAATTTGCAAACTGGGGGAGTCAGAGCAGATCATACTGCAGATCTTTAGATCTTTTCCAACTCTGCCTTTCACAAAGTCGTTCATTCAGCAAACATTTCCCCAGCACCCCCACTCCATGCTTGGGGAGACAGGGGAGGCCCAGCTGAGACTTGAAGGATAAAGCCAGCCAAGGTTGCTGTGGAAGCACCCAGAAACACCCTAACCCAGCCAAGGGGGCAGGAGAGGCTTCCCTGAGCAGGGGCATTTCAGCAGGAGCTTTCTAGGGATGGGCAGCAATGCCAGCCCTTTGTGCTTGAGCTCCAAATCTGCAGAATAGAAAGACGAACATGTAGTCCCAGGATTTCTATTAGAGTCAATAAGATGCAGCTGTTTGGGGCCCAGCACAGAGCAGGTGGTCAGTTGATTTGTACTGACTTTGAGTGGAGAAGGAAGGTAGTGCTGAGGGCTGAGGATCCGCCTCTTGATTTGGGGCTCCCTTTCCCTTCCTTCTTCTAGTCCTACCTTAACCTCACACTTTGGGCCTTGAGGTTTGGTTCCCTGGTAGTGGTCAGGGGAGACAGTGGGTCCCACTTACTTTCTCAGTAACAGTAACCCCTGGTATGTCACACCTATTTGATGCCAGCGGTGACAGGCTGAGACTGCTATTTCATTTAATTCTCACAAGTAGCTCCCAACTCCATTTCTTAGACTAGTTAACAGAGGCTCGGAGCAGTAAAGTGGCTCATCCAGGCTTACACAGCAGTCAGAATTGGAACCCATGCCCTTCTGTCTCTAAAGCTCTCCATATGAGAAACACTCACTGCTGGCTGAGCTTCCCCGCTGTCCAGGGGTTTGAGATGTTCCTCACCAGGTGGACTTGAAACTCCTGGAGACCAGGGAGCTCCCCTGTTCTTCCCCACACACCTCCCACATGGCTGGGTACACAGAAGGGGCCTTGGGGGGCTTATCTTGCTCCATTCTTAGAAGAGCAAGGCTGGGTACAGTGGCTCATGCCTGTAATCCCAGCACTTTGGGAGGCCGAGGCAGAAGGCCAGAAGTTCAAGAACAGCCTGGGCAACATAGTGAGACCCCATTTCTAAAAATAAAAAATTAGCCAGATGCCAGGTGTGGAGGCACATGCCTGTAGTTTCAGCTACTCGGGAGGCTGAGGTGGGAGGATCACCTGAGCCCAGGAGCCCAAGGCTGCAGTGAGCCATGATTGTGCTACTGCAGTCCAGCCTGGGTAACAGAGGGAGACCCTGTCTCAAAAAAAAAAAAGAAAGTTGGAAAATTTAGACTCAGATGGGTCAGTGGTATGGCCAAGGTCACACGGCAAACCAGGTAGTAGGGCTGGACCTTCCCAGTGCCTCACAGCCCTGAGAGTGGCTGGCGAAGCTGGAGGGACCACTCTCCAAGCCCTGTCTGTCCTTCTTACCTCTTCCTCCATTCCTGCAGTCCAGCACCTCTCTCTCTGCCAGGGGCAGGCCCCTTAGCCCTCACCTGTCCCAATTGCGCACCCTCGTGTCCACCCACAAACCTGCCTGTGTCACGCTCCTGCCTTTCAGTGGTCCTCGTCTTCCAGTGATAAGGACCACACTCCCTAACCTGCCCTTCATGTCTCTCCTTTGTGGCCTGGGCTTGTGGCGACTGTGCCTTTTTGTATCACTCCTAGTCCCTATCCCCCACCTGACAGTCTTGTGAGTGTGAACTGTCTTGCCTCTGGGCCTTTGCACACATTGACCCCCTTGCTTGTATGACCCTTTCCCTTTTGCCTGGTAGTCATCCCTTAGAATGGGATTATAATACTCAGCTTATACATAATGCTGCAGACCAGCACTGTCCAATAGAAATGTAACGTGAGCCACAAATGCAAGCCACATATGCAATGCAAAATTTTCTAGAGGTCTTTTTTTTTTTTTTTTTTTTGAGACGGTCTCACTCTGTTACCCAGGCTAGAGTGTAGGGGTGCGATCACGGCTCACAGCAGCCTCAACCTCCTGGGCTCAGGTGATCCTCCCACTTCAGCCTCCTGAGTAGCTGAGACTACAGGTGCATGCTATCTCACCTGGCTAATTTTTTGTATTTTTTAGAGAGACGAAGTTTCGCCATCTTGCCCAGGCTGGTCTCAAACTCCTGGGCTCAAGTGATCTACCTGTCTCAGCCTCCCACACTGGGATTTACAGGCATGAGCCACCTTGTCTAGTCAGAAGCCACATTTTAAAAAGTAAAATGAAACTGGTAACATTTATTTAACCTGTTCAAAATATTATCATGTAATCAATATAACAATAAATGGGATTTGATGTCATTAATATTAATATTAATAAGGTATCCTACATTATTTTTTTGTACGACATCTTTGAGATCTATGGACACTACATTTTACACTTACATCTCCATGTGGACCAGCCACATTTCAAGTGCCCAGTAGCCACATGTGGCCAGTGGCTAATGGAGTGAACGGTGCAGCTGTGGGCCTCTGAAGGGCAGAAGCCACGCTGAGTCTTCTGTCTGGGTCCCCTGCTTCCTGTCATGCTTGGCCTAGGGGAGAGCAGCGTAGCATTGTTGATATGACGTGGGCTGGGAGCTCAGCTTTGCCACTTAACAGCTGTTCACTGGCTGACCCCATTGGGCTCAGCTCCCTGAGTTGTAAAGTGGTGATGATAACATTTTCAGTACGGTGCAGAATGTTAATATAAATTCAATATTTTTATTGATGCAGTTTACAGATTTTTACAGATACCAAATGGAAGGCGAGGAGGCAGAACAGCCTGCCTGGTATGTGCACAGGATATGTGAGACCAGAGCTCCTTCCCCTGGATTCTTCTCCTTGGCCTTCTGCCCTGATTGAATTTGGGACCTGGGCCTGTGCCCACACTCTCGCTCTTAGAACCCCGGACTACAGTGGGGTCAGATGGGCAAGTGGCTAATGGCTGTTGAGCTGGCCGTGGAGTTTATGATGTGCTATGGGAATGATGGTCTGTAGACTGATGTTGGGTCAGGGGCAGGGGCAGCAGGGGTGTGGTGGAGTGAGCGTAGGGCTGGGCTGCTGTGGGAGCCAGTTGCTGCTGCCGACTGATCCCTGGAGCCTGGAAGCTGCAGGTGTGCCGGGCTCCCTGTTTCTCTGCCGGGCCAGTGGCTGAGACCTGAGTCTCCATCAACCATGTGGATCTGTAGGGTCAAGCAAGCCTGGCTGCCACCCCTCCTGTCTCCTCTAGGGCCTCCTACTCCTTGGGACCCCTTTTACGCTGCCCCCTCACCCCCAGTCTGGGTGGGCAGTGGTTATTGGTACCGGGGTCTGTTGTCCCCTCCAGATGGAGGACAGGGATCTTTTCCACCTCACCTGTGTCCCCAGTGCCCAGTACAGGCCCAGGCACAAATAGGCCCTTACTTCAGAGAACTGGGTGAACCACCAAGTGAGACAAAGTGGTATCTGAACTCCCACAGCCACCACAGGGCAGCAGGAACTCAGAGGCGGCTACGATGTCTGCAACATCTTCTGGGAGGAGGTGGGCCTGGGATTGGGTCAGAAAGCCCAAACGAAGGTCCAGGCCAAGTGACTCATGCCTGTAATCTCAGCACTTTGGGAGGCAAAGATGTGAGGATCACTTGAGGTCAGGAGTTTGAGACCACCCGGGCAACATAGAGAGACCCCATCTTTACACAAAATTTAAAAATTTGGCTGGCACGGTTGTGACCCCCTATAGTCCCAGTTGCTTGAGAGGCTGAGGCTGGAGGATCACTTCAGCCCCGGAGCTCAAGGTTACAGTGAGCTATGATTGCACCACTGCACTCCAGCCTGGGTGACAGAGTGAGGCCTTGTCTTAAAAAAAAAAAAAAAAAAAAGCCCAGCAAGATCTACAAGATCTAGACAAGGGAAGGAAAAGGAGCAGCAGCAGAGGATTCTGGAGTGAGCAGTGGTGTGGCAGGGGTGCAGACCATGCCCATGGAACAGACAATTAGTGGCAGGAAAAGCTAACGTTTACTGAGCACTTACTATGTGCAGTACATGCATTTCACTGACCCCTCTCAGTCTTCCCATAAGGACAGTGCTGTTATCATCCCCAAGGATGGGGGAGAAAGCTGAGGTTTAGATGATTGTAGTCACATAAGAGCCAGAGCTGAGGCCAGAGCCAAGGTTGCAGCTCAGGCCGCTAGCTCCAGTCATTAACATCATTGTCAAGCTCCCCAGTTTACAAAACCCTCCTAGGACCAGGGTCTTGCCAGACCCTTCTAGCTGCTTTATGGTCATGGTTTCTGATCTGGTGATGGGGAGAGAGGCTCAGCCTGAGCCAGTGCTTGTGGCCACTCAGCTCAGGAGTGAATGTCCCCCGTGCTGGAGGCATCCACAGCAGGTCCTTGCCGCTGTCCCTGCTGCTCACTTAGTGCAGCATGTTGCTGTGTGTCATTGCTGCAGTGGTGACAGCAGCTCATCACCTAATTGCATCACCTTATCACCTCATCACCTAAAAGCCAGGTGCTTTGCATCTTATCTTACTCCACAGAAGCTGTGTGTTTAGATGTATTATCTGCATTGTACAGACAACGAAACTGAGGCTCAGCAAGGTCAGAGGTGGGACTCAAACTGGGATTTGTGGGACCTGAGAGTCAGTGAACCTGAGCTACCAGCATGTCTTATCAGAGCCCAGAGATGTCTGAGTCCCTGTAAACAGAAACCAGGAACCCACCAAGAGCCAAGCCTACGCCACGGGACTGCTGGGACAATGGCATCTTTCAGCATCTTCCTCTATGGGCCTGAGATCATCCCCTGTACCCCATCCTTGCTGGACCCGGGGCCATGCCAGGGAGTGGTCTCTGGCAGGTGGCAGTGGTCACTGAGCACATCAGGCCCTGGTGAGGGCAGCTGAGGGGATACACATCAGGAATGGGAGGCCATGAGGGCAGCAGCAGCTGTAGTCGCTGATCCTTTCTCTGTGCTGGGCTCTGGGCTTGACCTATACCCAGACACAGAGAGTTGCTCACAGCTCTCTGTGGGAAGAAGATACCTTTGCTATTCAAAACCCAACCCAACTAATGCTAAGCTCTGGGTGAACACAGTCATGGGGAGCCCTGGGGCATCTCAGTGTCCCGCTGCTCCCCCTCTTCCCATGTTCATAGCACTGGAATTGGTTCCCAGAAAAGAAAATGCTGATTGCACAAGACAGAGGAAGGGCACTCTAGGCAGAAGGAACAGCATGTGCAAAGGCCTGGAGGGAGGAGCTATTCAATAGTCCTGTAGAACTGGGGGCAGTTGAGGGGACAGTTGGAAGAGAGTCAGGACCAAGTCAGGAAGGCCTGAGAATGGCGAGCTGGAGAGCCGGGACGCACCCTGCCAGTGCTGGCTCACCATGGCCTGTGGCTGCTGGAGGAGGCAGGGGGTCTTCCCACACCGCCAGTGCCAGGATAGCAAGGGTTCAGCACAGTCCAGGTCGTGTCTCAGCTTCCCCTTCTAGGAAATAGGGGTACAGACTCCTTAGGGCCAAGCCTGCTGAATGAAGGCTGCAGAAGGTTTTGCAGACCTGCCAGAGGACAGGGCTTTACCTCGTCCCCCGCCTCTGGAGGGCAGCCTGGTGGGGGTTGGGCAGGTGCGGAGGGCAGCAGTCAGTCATCGGCTGGGCTCTGAGGACAGTCCAGAGTGGGCCCTGCTTTGTGCTCGGGAGGGCCCCGTCATGACTTTCGAGGGCCCCAGCTGTGTCCACTGTACCTCACAGGTTCCGTCAGCCCTGGCGCCCAGGCGCATCTGACTCGGCACCCCCTGCAGGCACCATGGCCCAGAGCCGGGTGCTGCTGCTCCTGCTGCTGCTGCCGCCACAGCTGCACCTGGGACCTGTGCTTGCCGTGAGGGCCCCAGGATTTGGCCGAAGTGGCGGCCACAGCCTGAGCCCCGAAGAGAACGAATTTGCGGAGGAGGAGCCGGTGCTGGTACTGAGCCCTGAGGAGCCCGGGCCTGGCCCAGCCGCGGTCAGCTGCCCCCGAGACTGTGCCTGTTCCCAGGAGGGCGTCGTGGACTGTGGCGGTATTGACCTGCGTGAGTTCCCGGGGGACCTGCCTGAGCACACCAACCACCTATCTCTGCAGGTGAGGTCGGCGTTGCACCTGTGGTCACGGGGGCTGTCCCACACACCCTTGGTTCCCATCCCAGAACCCTGACACTCCAAGCAAACTGTTCACCCAGAACCTCCAATATGTGCGGCTCTCCACTCCCAACCACAGGGTGCTGGGGCAGGTCAGATTTCTGGGGCCCTGGCCGCACCAGGTGACACTCTCCTGATGTCCCAGTCACGGAGCACTGTGATAGTACAATAAAACCCACTTTGCTCACTTAGAGTCCAGGCTGGGCCCAGTAAGTCGAGCCAGGCTCTGTCTGAAAATGGACACAGACCTGCCCAGCAGCTGACCCTCTGAATGCACAGCCACCATTACACGGTCAGGAAAACCAGAGCAAAGTAGACCTGACAGAATACTCTGGAGCCTTGGAGGATGGAGTGCTGTCTCCAGCCAAGGGGCAGGCTAGAATTTGGAACCTTGAGAGGTGGGACACAGTGTCCAGACTAGGAGCACCCTGGAGTGCAGATGCACCCATCCTCGCCTTGTGCGGCCCAACAGCCCTAGGGAGACGGAGGGGCTGCGGCACCCGTTCCCAGAGGCGATCAGGCCTGGTGCGGGAGAGTGACTTGCCTACTGGCATCCACACTGGTGGGTCTGAGCTGGCGGCTGTGGGAGCCCAAGGCCAGGGCAGCCACTGAGAGAAAGGGCCACATTGAGGGCAGCTCTTACTGTTGGTTCCTTTGCTCTTTCATCCACACATCAACTCTCTCAGGCGCCTGCACTGGGCCTCTGGTCCTGTGTAGGGGCTGGGCATGGAGGCAGGGCCCGGCGTTCCCTGCCCTGTGCTTACAGTCAGTGGCGAGGCAGAGACTTCTTAAACAGAGGCACCAGATGGAAATGGAAGGACTGTGTGTGGGGCCCAGAGTAACCTCCTAATTCAGCTCCAGCCCAACCCAGGAAGGCTTCTGGAGGAGGTGGTACCTGCCCCAGCTTTCCATTCATTCTAAGTGGAGAGGGGACTGCAGGGCCAAGGAGGGGAAGGAAAAGTGGTTTCTGACTTGGGGAGCAGCTGTGGTTGCCTGTCACGAGGTGGGAACGCTCCAGGAGCACGCCTGGAGGAGATAGCATGTCGAGTTTGAACTGCCCGTAGATGTCCATGTGTGGGCTCCCTGAAGGCAGGACCCACACTCCTGTTGTGATCACTGCTGTGCCCCAGAGCCCATATGCAGACCTGGCCCAGAGCTGGCACCGGGGGTCTGCTGCCATGGGGGAGAATTCCAAGGGAGGTGCCCAGCAGGTGGACTGGATTCTAGGACTGGAGCTATGGGTAGGGAATGGAGTCCAGGGCACACCCCACTAGGCTGATGCTGCTTCCTTGCGGCCCCCTACCCCCCTAGAACAACCAGCTGGAAAAGATCTACCCTGAGGAGCTCTCCCGGCTGCACCGGCTGGAGACGCTGAACCTGCAAAACAACCGCCTGACTTCCCGAGGTGAGGGGCCACCCAGAGCCCAGGGTCAGGGACACCAAGTGGGGCCTTGGGGGCCTGAACGATGCTGGGTGCCCAGGGGGAGAGCTTGGCCCTGCGGATCTTGGGGTGTGGATGGAAGAGAGCAGGCCCGGGCCAGGCTAGCAGTGGGGCTGCATGAGAACCAGCTCCACACGGGCAAGGGGGCTCCCTATTGTTGCCTGAACACTACACGGATATTTCTTTCTTTTTTTTTTTGACATAGTCACTTACTTTAATAACAATACATATACCATGTTATCACCATGGAATGTAAATTCAGGTTAGACAAGAGAATTTCACAAGTGTAATAACATTCTGTAGTATATAAGTTTGTGTATACTGTCTGGCCAAACCAGCATATGCTCATAAGTCATTCATCAATTCCATTACAGGTCATTTGTTTAGTTGAATGTTTATAAGCAAAATAAAATAAAATAAATAAAAAATAAAATAATATAAAATAAAATAAAAATAAAATAAAATAAATAAAAAATAAAAATAAGCAATGCACACAGTTTTAAAGCATTCACTTACCTTTGCATGAGTTAAAATACAGGATTCTATTTCAAGATGACATTTAAAAATGATTCTAACAGCAGCAAAAATATAATTCTGCAATTACGAAAGAACTAAACTAGAATCCATAAGTTATTTTCATGTTTACACTTGTGATTCTTTAATAAATACTATTACTATGCAACTCTGTCTTAAGCTTTCTAAATTTGGTTTAAACACACACGTAGATAGTATCAGTTGTGGGAGGCTGTACAAGTTATATTCCATGCACTTTTGGACAGAGTTCTAAAAGAGCCAACCAGTCCACAAGACAGGCAGAAAAAAGTTAAATTAACTGGGGCAAATAGGACCCTTATATAACATCCAACATGTGAGATTCTGCAGCAACTGGGAGTACGTCAGGGTTGGCCTGGACAACCCCGGTGCCCTCCCATCCTTGTGTCTCCAACCCTTTCTACTCCTTGGACTTGAGACTCAAAGGTCTGCCTGCCTCCTTGACATTTTCCCTAGACGTCCCTGTCTTCTTTATAACTAATTTCATCTGAACAGTTTAAGAAGGTGGACATTTCAACACCATCAAGCGCATTCAGGTGACATGTTTCAAGATGTCTAACTAGGCCGGGCGCGGTGGTTCACGCCTGTAATCCCAGCACTTTGGGAGGCCAAGGCAGGTGGATCACCTGAGGTCAGGAGTTCGAGACCAGCCTGGCCCACATGGCAAAACCCCGTCTCTACTAAAAATACAAAAAATTATCCCGGTGTTCTGACAGGCACCTGTAATCCGAGCTACTCAGGAGGCTGAGGCAGAAGAATCACATGAACCCGGGAGGCGGAGGTTGCAGTGAGCTGAGATCACACCATTGCACTCCAGTCTGGGCAATAAGAGTGAAAAAAGCTGTCTAACTAAAGCAAGCTCCTCCAACAAGACCAAGACAGCATCTCTCCTTCTAAGGCTTAGGATTTGCCCAGAATTCCTGATACCTGGACTAGCCCATACCAACAGTCATGGCTCCTATAACAAAGCCTTGAACTGCCACATGCATGTGGATCAGATGAAGGGACATTGTCGTGTTTCCCATGCTCTTCAATTTGTGTAATCCCTATGCAACAATGGCTGCAAAGCCTGCCATTCCAATGGGACAAATGGTGCCTCTTTAGCTTTCTGAAGAAGTTTGGATCCCTGATCTTCATCATGTGAAAAATGGGAAACCTCTGTGTCTATTGACATAGTGATTGGTTGAAGAATCTCCCTAGAGTGAGAAAACCTCTTACACGCCAACCAGCTTCTGATCCCTCCCGTGCACCCCAGGCGGGTGTTTCTAAGACCTGGGGGATGCGCAGGAGAGAGGCTTCAGAGAAGCTGAGCTTCCAGAACCTTGTCACAGGATCTTCGGTTCCGAGGGCCTTTAGAACCCAAGAGTTGTAGAGTCCTCACATTTTAAAAAGATTTTTTTTTCCTGATGACGAAAATAACATCTGACTGGGATAGAAACTTTGTAACATAAAATGGAAAGAGAAAATTTCTCATAATTTTGCCACTCGGAATTAACTACTATTGACATTTTGGTAAATTTGTTTCCATTTTTAAAAAAGCAGCTTTCTTGAAGTATCATTTATGTACCGTAGGATTTACCCAATTTGAAGGTATAATTGGCTGAGTTTTAGTCAGCGGTGCAGCCAGCACCACAGTCCAGTGGTCTTTTTTCCTTTGTGTTTTAAACTCGTGGCTGAACACATGCTATGATATCACAGCCTGCTTTGTTTCTCTTAGCCGTCGGCTCAGCCGCCTCTCTCGTGTTGCTAAAGCCTCTCATTGACCATCATCTTACATAGTGGCAGCAGGGTGTTCCATGGAGAGACATGCCAGTTTATATAACTGTTCCCTCTTGTTAGATATGTGGGTGAGGTCCAGCATCTGGGGGTCTTGGAGCCCAGAAACGAGAGTCAGAGGCCAGCCTGGCAGGGCTCCCGGTAGCAGCCGAGTCCTGACACATCTGCCAGATGGAGCAGGGGTGAGCCAGGTGGTGAGGAGGCCCAGAGCCGCAGCCCCACCCTGTGTGGAGCCATTCCTGGCCCGGCCCCCCTGCCTGTGGATGGGGCTGTGACCTTCTGGGGCTCTCCTGGAGGGGAGGACTTCTTTCTGGCAGGACAGGGTCAGGCTGGATGCTCTGCTGCTGGCCTGACCTCTCAGGGGTCATCCCCACTCAGAGCGAGGAGTTAGTCTCTCAGTAGACAATAACTGCCTGCTCCTCTGAGCCTGGGCTTATGTGAGCAAGGAGAAAGAACAGGGCTGGGCAGGCCCCCCAACTGCTTGGGAGGGGATCTGAGCTGCCTCTGCCTCCCTAGTCCTGGCAGGCGGGTGGGGGAGGAGGGTGGGCGCTTGCTGTGCTTCCCTGTGGCGTCTCCTCCATCCAGGGCTCTGACCGATGCCTGTCCTTTGAAGGGCTCCCAGAGAAGGCGTTTGAGCATCTGACCAACCTCAATTACCTGTACTTGGCCAATAACAAGGTGAGGGGCTTGAGGCAGGGTGGGGGGTTGCTGCCCTGTCCTCTAGGCATTGTCTTCCCTGAGTTCCATGAACTTTCACCAGGGCCTTTCTGGACTCCCTGCTGGGTCCTTGTTGCTGCTCAGACATGGCCCTGGGTCGGGGGTGGGGGAGACACGGACCCCATGCCTATAACTCAGGGCATCAGAGTGTGTCAGGTCATGAAGACAGAAGCCAAGGCCCACAGGAGTGTAGAGGGGGAAGAGCTTGTCCCCACTGGGGAAGGCATACCTGGAGGGCTTCCTGGAGGAGATGGTATTTGAGCAGGGGCATGGAGGGTAATAGGATTCTAGGCAGGGGCCCCAGGGTGGGGGGCACTGCAGTAGAAGGAATGTCATGAGTGAAGGCACAAGGGTACTCATGTTCAAAATATTTGGTGTGCTCCAGAGCTCTGTCCCAGCCCCTTCTCTCTCTGAACTCTCTGGAGGTGACCTGTGCCCTCCCAGACTCTGTCTCCCATCTGCATCATGGCCATGTCCAGTGGTTGTCTCCAACTCTTTCTGCTCCTTGGACTTGAGACTCAAAGGTCTGCCTGCCTCCTTGACATTTCCCCTAGACATCCAGTGGAAGGAAGCTACAGCTTCCCGCCCACAGCACCCAGACCCAGTCCTCCTCTGTCATCCCAGCTCTGCAAGGGGGCATCTCCAGCCACCTACAGCCCCACTGGTCCAAGCCACAAATGGTGCCTCTGGGCCCTGAGCTTCCTCACCATGTCCAGTCCCATTGAGGTCCTCAGCTCTTACCGCACTGGCCCCCATCCCTCACCTGGACGCTTGCCTCCTCACTTGCCCCCCATTCTTGGAGAAGCCAGAGCAACCTTGAAGTCACACCCATCGCTTCTTGGTCTTTTGGCTAAGATCAGGTGTAAAAGCCACACCCACCTCTGCCCCTTATCCACGCGGGATGAACCCAGGAGGACGGGCAGGGCAGGGGACAAGTCCTGAGGGCCTTGAATGCCAAGCTGAGTGCTGAGGACAGCCAGAGAGGTTTTGTTTTTGTTTTTGCAGAGGGGGTGGGACAAGTTTCAATTTGAGAAAGATGGCCTGGTTGCAGGGAGACACAGTGAAGGGGCCCCGGTGGGCAGCAGGCAGTGGGACCCACAGCTGGCCTCTGCTCCTCCATTGCTCTTTCGGCCCCAACTCTTCCCTTCCCAGCTGACCTTGGCACCCCGCTTCCTGCCAAACGCCCTGATCAGTGTGGACTTTGCTGCCAACTATCTCACCAAGATCTATGGGCTCACCTTTGGCCAGAAGCCAAACTTGAGGTCAGAGGTCGGGGGTGGTCAGGGCTCGGGCTGGGGCAAGGGGAGGGGCTGAGGTGGAGGCTGCCATCCTGTGTGAGGCAGAGACAGGTCCCGAAGGAGGCCCTGCACTCAGGGCTGTGGTGGAGGGACACCCAGGGGCCCTAACAGAGGAGGACAACTCGGGCCAGGAGGTGAGGACAGAGAGTGTTGTCTACAGGAATTGTGGTGAACCAGTGAGGATGTCCCCACTTTCCCAGCCCCTGGGGAAGGGGAGCATCTTTCAACAGGCAGAACTGCCCTTCGCTGAGCTGCATTGGGAGGAGCAACCGCCCCCCAGCATAGGTGTGCGAGAGAGCAGTGTGGTGCAGGCGGGGTGGGGGGCTGCCGGGGAGCCGCCTCCAGGACAGTTTGGGGGCTGGACAACCCCAGTGCCCTTCCATCCCTGCGTCTGCCATCTCAGTGACTCTCTCCATCTGTCTGAGGACCCAGGACCACTGTACACGGCCCCATCCCACAGACAGAGGCTCAAGACGGGCCACACAGCAAAACTGAGCTGTGTCTGTCACAGATGACCCTTGTTCCTTGTCTTCCCTCCTTCTAGTATGTTGGGTCCACGAGGGCAGGGTCTGTCTCATTGGTCATGTCCACTGTTATGCCCTCAGTCTAGAACAGCTCTGGCATCTCATATATATATTTATTTATACACCTTTTATATATATATGCATATATCTCTATTTAATATATTATATTACATAATATATTAACTATATATTTGCTGAATGGATGAGGGCCACCTCCTCTGAGACAGGCCCTGTGCTGGCACTAGGGCCAAAGAGGCAGGCAGAGATAGGCCCTGTGTTTAGGAAGTCCTAGGAACTCAGAGCCAGGCTGCGTGGGGTTGACAGGCAGGGATGAAGGGGCCGCGAGTCAGGCAAGGACTCCAGGGCTGAAAGGGTCAGGGGTCAACTGAGACCTTGAAAGGCGTGGAGGGGCCTCTGCCAGGGGTCAGGAAATCCTATTTCTCCCGCTAGCTTATGGGACCACCTGTGGTGGGGCACGGCCCCTTCTGGTCCTTGGTTCTGTCAGCTGTGTAGGCAACATCTGAGGTGCTTCTAACTCTGTACCCTTGAGTTTGGATGGAAGGAGAGCAGCCTGGGCAAGGGTTTAGAGGCTCACCAGTTGAGCTGGCGCAGGGCCTGGGGAGCCCAGGTGGGTGAGGACCTGTGCCTTGACCCCCAGGTCTGTGTACCTGCACAACAACAAGCTGGCAGACGCCGGGCTGCCGGACAACATGTTCAACGGCTCCAGCAACGTCGAGGTCCTCATCCTGTCCAGCAACTTCCTGCGCCACGTGCCCAAGCACCTGCCGCCTGCCCTGTACAAGCTGCACCTCAAGGTGGGCAGGGGAGGGGTAAGGAGGGGCACAGCAGACCCCACAGCCAGGGCACTGGGGCAGGGGCCTGCAGGGGAAGAGCTCAGGCCCACATGGCCACAGGTGCTGCCCAAGTGGGGCCCCGGGGCTGACAGCAAGGAGTCTACTGTGGAGAAGTGGGCAGAAACCCGGGCACCTGGCCAGTGGGTTGTGTGTGGCGTTGGTGGCCCCACACCTGGGTTGCTTCAGGTCTGGGTGCCTTCCTGGTGGCTTCCCAGACTCCTCTCCACACCTCATCCCGAGGCCCTGACCTTGCCCTCGGCCCTCCCTCACAATCTCCTCCCTTCCCTTCCATCCCCCAGAACAACAAGCTGGAGAAGATCCCCCCGGGGGCCTTCAGCGAGCTGAGCAGCCTGCGCGAGCTATACCTGCAGAACAACTACCTGACTGACGAGGGCCTGGACAACGAGACCTTCTGGTGAGTCCTTGTCTCACCAGGTCCTTGGCGTGACCACGGGGCCCGGGAAGCTCCTTCAGGGCCAACCATCCAGCCCAGCCCAGCCCCTCACGCACGTCCCCTGCCCACCTTCCCTGGAGAAGGAACTTTAAGCCTTGTGCCTCTGTTGACATTTCTGTCCCTGGGAACAAGGACTATGTAGAAGTAAGGCCTTCCAAGATTCCAGTGAGGCAAAGAAGCGTTGGTGGAGGCTGGCTTCTTGGTGCGAAATACAGACTCGGGCATTCTTGCTGAAGGCAAATGCATTTTCATTTTTCTAAGGGACCAGGGTAGCCATAAAAGGCTATCAAAAGGTTAAATAGTGGTCTTCAAGTAAACTCCTGTGTGTCAGAAAATGCCGGATCCTTCCTACACCAGAATATCATTGAGTCAACCCAAGGAGCAAGGACTGAGGGCCCACAGTCAGTGAGCAGCAGAGCTGGGAGGAGCTAGTGGCAATTCCCCAGCCACATCTCTTGGGAATCATGGTGGAAACGAGCACAATGTGGGCTCTTGCCAACCGTCCTAATTCCCTCCCTGCCCCAGGAAGCTCTCCAGCCTGGAGTACCTGGATCTGTCCAGCAACAACCTGTCTCGGGTCCCAGCTGGGCTGCCGCGCAGCCTGGTGCTGCTGCACTTGGAGAAGAACGCCATCCGGAGCGTGGACGCGAATGTGCTGACCCCCATCCGCAGCCTGGAGTACCTGCTGCTGCACAGCAACCAGCTGCGGGAGCAGGGCATCCACCCACTGGCCTTCCAGGGCCTCAAGCGGTTGCACACGGTGCACCTGTACAACAACGCGCTGGAGCGCGTGCCCAGTGGCCTGCCTCGCCGCGTGCGCACCCTCATGATCCTGCACAACCAGATCACAGGCATTGGCCGCGAAGACTTTGCCACCACCTACTTCCTGGAGGAGCTCAACCTCAGCTACAACCGCATCACCAGCCCGCAGGTGCACCGCGACGCCTTCCGCAAGCTGCGCCTGCTGCGCTCGCTGGACCTGTCGGGCAACCGGCTGCACACGCTGCCACCTGGGCTGCCTCGAAATGTCCATGTGCTGAAGGTCAAGCGCAATGAGCTGGCTGCCTTGGCACGAGGGGCGCTGGTGGGCATGGCTCAGCTGCGTGAGCTGTACCTCACCAGCAACCGACTGCGCAGCCGAGCCCTGGGCCCCCGTGCCTGGGTGGACCTCGCCCATCTGCAGGTAAGCGGAAGGGAGGGGGCTGAGCCATGCCCATGGAGGGGGGTACTGGCATGGCTGCCCTGAGCCCACCTGTCTGAAGGGTGAGGAGAAGGGCTGGGTGGTGAGGGAGGTTCCTCTGGTATGGCCAGGCTGAGCTCATTCACCTTCAGGTATCTGCTGGAGATGCTGGCTAAGGCGAAGCTAGGCCTTAGGGGAGGCAGGAGGTGGGTCAGGCAGAGGGTGTGGCTGGCATGCCAGGGTGAGCCCAGCCCACCTGCAGGTACAAGAGTGAGGGGCAGAGTACAGGTGGTATGACCGAGCTGAGCTCATCACCTGCAGATACAGGTTTGAGAAGGGCTGTGGAGGTAAGGAAGGTCATGGCTGCAGGTAGGGGCCCTAGGCTCAGGAGGACCGGGGGCCAGTTCGGGTGGTATGTATGGGAGAGTCAAGCTCACCCCTTTGCAGGCACAGGAGTAGGTATGTGGAGAAGGCTGGGCTTTGGGATGGGAGGCAGAGGGGACAGCCTGAGCTGTGGGCCCACCTCACCAGTCTGCAGAGGGCTGGAGGTGGGGATCTACTCATGCTTTCTGAGGCTGGCCAGTCGATGTGGCTGCTGTGACCACATGGTCAGAATTAGGCAGGGATGCCTGGGCACATAGTTCACTTTGGTAACAAAACCCCCAACTCAACCAGTGTGGGTGAAAGAGAAATCCACTCTATACGCTGGCTCATGCCTGAATCTCAGCAGTTAGAGAGGCTGAGGCAGGAGGATCACTTGAGCCCAGGAGTTTGAGGCTTGCCCGGGCAACATAATGAGACCTCATCTCTACAAAAAAATAAACTTAAAAAAATTTAGCCCCGTGCAGTGGCATGCATCTCACCCTGGGGGGCTGAGGTGGGAGGATCACTTGAGCCTAAGGAAGATAGAGCTGGCAGTGAGCTATGATCACGCTACAGCACTCAATCCTGGACGACAGAGTGAGACGCTGTCTCAAATTAAAAAAAAAAAAAAAAAAAAGGAAACTCATCAGAGAACCTGGGAGGGAGGGTGGGGTGCTGCCAGTTTAGGCACTGCCCAGTGGCTTCAGCGGCTCCCTGTGGGAACCCACTTTCCTGACTGCCCTCCCCTGGATGCCAGGCATGTGATGATCTGAGACAGAATGGCCTGGGGCCTGGCTGTTGTGCTGGGGTCACTGTGGGTCTCACACCGTTGCTCCTGACCTCTGCACGTGTGGCCCCTGAGGTCCATAAGTGAGCAGTCCCACTCAAGCAGCTCCCACTGCACCCATCCAGGGCCAGTGGGGTGAGATTCAGAGTCTGGGGGATCCCTGGGCTCTGCCCATTTGAGATCTTTGGGAATGACCAAGTCTAATGGGAATGACAAGTGTGTCAGGAGATAGGACTGTGACACCCAAACATCTTGGCTGTGGGTTTATGTGGGAAGGCACAAGAAGCTGGGTAGGACGTTCATCAATTAGAATAAGGGTTTGGAGTCAGGCACACCCGGCTACAGCCTTTTATAGGTTATGTGACCTTGGAAAGATCACTTAACCTCTCTGAGCCTCTATTTCCCAATCTGGGAAGTGGGGATAATTATAGACACCCCCCCTCCTCCACACAGGGTTATTGTTAGATTTAGATAGGCTGGGGGCTTGGTGGGAGTTTTGTAAGCTGTTAAGTGCTTTGCACAGGTGGGAGTCCCTGACTCCCTTGGTCACCCCTGCAGCTGCTGGACATCGCCGGGAATCAGCTCACAGAGATCCCCGAGGGGCTCCCCGAGTCACTTGAGTACCTGTACCTGCAGAACAACAAGATTAGTGCGGTGCCCGCCAATGCCTTCGACTCCACGCCCAACCTCAAGGGGATCTTTCTCAGGTAGGAGCCCACTCGCGGCCCTGTACACACCCCCGTGGGGCCCACCCTGGCTCCAACGGGACAGTTGATGCACGTGGGAACAGCTTGGCTCCACTGCTGCCTGTGTAACCACGGCTCAGATCTCAAGGGTGGGGACAGTCCTGGCCAGGCCCGATATGGTTCCTAGGTTTGTAAAAGGGCTTTGGAAACGTTAGAAGCCAGTGCGCATGGGCGTTGTGAATGTTACTGTGGCAGAAAGGATGCTGGACAGCATCTTCCTGGTTTGCAGCTGAGAGAGCTGAGGCCCTGAGAGCACAGGTGACTGCTGTGTCTGCAGCCATCCAGGCTGGGTCCGGGCCTCACACTCAGGAATAGATGTTCAGGCCCTCCCTGGCTTCTGGGGCTAAGAGATGGGGATTTGGAGTGATTCGGGGGATGCAGCTCCCTGAGGATATGAGGGGCTTCCATGCAGCAGAGCCAGGGTGGTTCTTCCCAGCACTTCCCACAATCCCTGCCCCCAAATCAGAGAGAAGGAGACAAGGCAGAGATGAGTGTGCTCCCAGGAGCTCGGTTGCCCAGAAAGCCCTGGGCTCGATGATATCAGGGTGGCTTGACATGTGCCTCAGGCATCTGCAGGGTAGCTGAAGCACAGAGAGTGAGGGGCCTGAGATCAGAGCCACAGCCTCCACCTTTCCACCCCTGAGTGTGGCCCTGGCCTGGCTCAGCGCTGGCCTTGCCTTTGTGCCACTCCACATCAGGCACTGCGGTGACCCCTGGCTACCGCAGCCCAGGAGCCTCAGGCCTTGGGGTTAATGCCAGGGATGGCATAGAGACAGCTCCCAAAGTTGTGGCTTCCAAAATAGCAGTGAGAGTGTGCGCAGAGAGAGACCCCTCACTTTGCAGAGACTGGCCCAGAGCCAGCCCCACCACAAGCTGCAGCTGCCCTGACCGGCCTGTACCTTCCATCATGTACTGCGCTCTCAGCCCCTGGCCTTTCCCGCCTGCTGCACCACTTTCCGGGAGGGCCATTCCCTCCCCTGTTACCTTCTGGAGAGGCCAGTCGGGGGAAGGGAGGGTTCCTTGGGGGTTGGGCTCCTGGCATTGACTGCCTCGATGCTCACACAGGTTTAACAAGCTGGCTGTGGGCTCCGTGGTGGACAGTGCCTTCCGGAGGCTGAAGCACCTGCAGGTCTTGGACATTGAAGGCAACTTAGAGTTTGGTGACATTTCCAAGGACCGTGGCCGCTTGGGGAAGGAAAAGGAGGAGGAGGAAGAGGAGGAGGAGGAGGAAGAGGAAACAAGATAGTGACAAGGTGATGCAGATGTGACCTAGGTATGTGGCCTGTATGGGGCAGCACTCACTTCTGCTCCCTGCATTTTCCCCTTCCTGACCCTGGTAGAGGGTCTTTCTGTCCATTCTTCACCCTCTCGCCTCTGCTTCATCCACCCATTTAGCAAATTTATAAGAGCACTTGGGATGTACCAGGCCGTGGGTGAAAGGTTGAAGCCTACGGGAGGCCCACACCTTCCAGAAGATTCTCACCCAGCATGAGGGTGCTGTCACGGGAGTGACCGGGGGGCACTGGACATGTGGGTCGGGGCTCAGGAGTGAGGTCTGGTCTGGAGAGAGGGATCCAGGCATTGTTAGCCTTGAAACAATCACTCAAGCTGCAGGGGGCTGGGGAAGCTTGCCATGGGAGAGTGAGTGAGGGGGGCAGGTGACTGAGACAGAGCAGTTAGGAAAGGAGGTAGGAAAACCCCAGACTGCCGTGGGCAGAGGGCATTTGCACATGTATGTAACACAGGCACCTACATGTGCACATGCACACAAATGCACACGGATGCACCAACACACATACATTCATGTGCACACACGTCTCAACATGTACACACATCCACAAACCATGCACAGGCAGAACACACACACCACACACATGCACACAGACACACATACATGCTTGTACCCCATGACACATTTGCATGCCTAGACTATGTACATACGTGCACACACGTGTGTACATGCATGTGAGTACATGCACACAAAACACCCATGCGTACCCACGTATACGGGCCCTTACATGCACACCTGCATGCACACATGTACACATGATGCGTGCATGCACAGGCCTGTCTAGAAGTGGGGACTTGGCTGTGTCAGTGCTGCTGAGGGGCTGAGGGAACTGAGCACTGAGGGAGCTGACCACTGCGGAGCGCCCACTGGATTTTTCCACCTGGAGGCTGTCTGTGACTTTGTAGCAGCAGGGGAAGCTGGGATGAGAAGAGCAGCTGGAAAGGAAGTGGGTCCAGGCACTGCAGACCAGCCTTTTGAGAAGTTTGGCTGTGAGAGATGAGAGAGGGCAGAGGTGGGAATGGAGTGTGAAGTTCAGGAAACGCTCATTTTCTGAGCCTCACAGGAAGCAAAGGCCTCTCGAGGGGAGCCCTGTGTGAGGGGCTCTGGCAAGATGCCCCGACACACACATGCATCTTCCACACGCACCCTCTTAAAGGAGGGGGCTGGCTTGGGTGCTGGTGGGAAGAGGCTGGCCTGGAGGGGGAGTCACCGATGTAGGAAAGAGCTGGCTTTGAGGGCCCCTGTGGGAATGGTAGAAGTTGCTGGCTTTAGCAGGAGGAACAAAGGGCAGGGTGGCTGCTGTCACAGGCAGATTGGTGGCTTGGTGGCCAGATGTGAAGCCATGTCAGCCGGATCCCTCCAGTCTTCCGTTTTCTCTGTGCAGCAGGGAGGTTCTCCGCAGACCAAAGGTATGGAGAAAATGGACAGGTGGATCCACCCACAGCTGAGTTTTTCAGCCAAGAGTTCAGGACAGGAGGGCAAGGAACAAGGGAGTGTGTTGGCCGGAGGCTGGCTGCAGGCATGGGTCCTGGGGTCAGGTTGGGTAGGGAAGGAGGTGCAGATAGGAGGGCTGGTGGGCAGGGACTCAGAGAAAGACATTGGAGAGGAGCCAGGAGCGGCTGTGTGGTCGGAGGAGAGAGGAGAGCTGGTGAGGAGTGAGCCAGGCTGGGGGTCACAGGGCCAGGACGTAGCCGTGGGAGGGGCTGCCGGGCCACTGTTGAGTGTTGACTGAAGTAGGGCCTGGGACGAAGAGGAACCAGAGGGGGCTGTTGAGGGCCACTTGGGTGGGTGACAGAGGGAGCTGGGAGAAGGGCGCAAGTTGATGGTGAGAGAAGAGTGTGCACAGAGTTGGGTATCCGCAAGTGTGGAGGGGCTGGCAAGAGGCTGAGCTTGGGGGTCACCTTCCCCAGCTCCCAGGGCCCGGGAGTATGAAGGTAGAGCTGGTTCTCTGAGGTGTTGTCCTCACACAGAGTTGGGGTGGGTGACAGGGTGACTGGCCATCCAGTGGGGACACCACAGCCCTCATGAGGGGCTGTGGAGTCCTGGGGTGGGTGAGAATCTGCCCCATCTCAGGTCAGTTGAGTGGGGCTCTGGGAGAAGCCCTGGGGAGTGGCTGGTGGGACCCAAAGGCCTTCTGGCACCCCGCTGGCTCTGGGCTCCCAGGGCCAACGCTCCCTCCCTACTCATAGTAGCCTGGCCTTTCCAGAGCCCCCTCCAGCAGGGCTCCCCACAGCAGGTCCCCTCAGGCTGCTTGGGCTGGTGGGTCTGCCCTGAGCTGGCCCCTGACTCTCTTACATGTTCCACAGGACGATGGACCGCCGGACTCTTTTCTGCAGCACACGCCTGTGTGCTGTGAGCCCCCCACTCTGCCGTGCTCACACAGACACACCCAGCTGCACACATGAGGCATCCCACATGACACGGGCTGACACAGTCTCATATCCCCACCCCTTCCCACGGCGTGTCCCACGGCCAGACACATGCACACACATCACACCCTCAAACACCCAGCTCAGCCACACACAACTACCCTCCAAACCACCACAGTCTCTGTCACACCCCCACTACCGCTGCCACGCCCTCTGAATCATGCAGGGAAGGGTCTGCCCCTGCCCTGGCACACACAGGCACCCATTCCCTCCCCCTGCTGACATGTGTATGCGTATGCATACACACCACACACACACACATGCACAAGTCATGTGCGAACAGCCCTCCAAAGCCTATGCCACAGACAGCTCTTGCCCCAGCCAGAATCAGCCATAGCAGCTCGCCGTCTGCCCTGTCCATCTGTCCGTCCGTTCCCTGGAGAAGACACAAGGGTATCCATGCTCTGTGGCCAGGTGCCTGCCACCCTCTGGAACTCACAAAAGCTGGCTTTTATTCCTTTCCCATCCTATGGGGACAGGAGCCTTCAGGACTGCTGGCCTGGCCTGGCCCACCCTGCTCCTCCAGGTGCTGGGCAGTCACTCTGCTAAGAGTCCCTCCCTGCCACGCCCTGGCAGGACACAGGCACTTTTCCAATGGGCAAGCCCAGTGGAGGCAGGATGGGAGAGCCCCCTGGGTGCTGCTGGGGCCTTGGGGCAGGAGTGAAGCAGAGGTGATGGGGCTGGGCTGAGCCAGGGAGGAAGGACCCAGCTGCACCTAGGAGACACCTTTGTTCTTCAGGCCTGTGGGGGAAGTTCCGGGTGCCTTTATTTTTTATTCTTTTCTAAGGAAAAAAATGATAAAAATCTCAAAGCTGATTTTTCTTGTTATAGAAAAACTAATATAAAAGCATTATCCCTATCCCTGCAGCCTGTGGCTATGTCTGTGCTTGCTTCCTGCCAGGTGCTGGCCTGGTGCCGGGTGGAGGGGGCAGGATACAAGCCCCTCAGCGCCCTGGCCAGAACAGCAGACATCAGTGGAAAGTCCAGTTCTCGGGGCCCGCAGAGTAGCTGCACAGGCAGGCATCCTGGGAGAACAGGGCATAGCCTCAGGCGAGGGGGCCTGAGGTGTGTGCAGATGGCCCACTCGGGAATAGTAGGTGAGGCCTGAACCAGCACACGCGGCCTGTGAGCTTGCTGTGCATTCCCAGAGGTGGAGCATCCAAGCAAAGGACCTCATGGGCTTTGGGCCTGTTAAGGGCTCACCTGGAGGGTCATGGGTCACCTTTGCACTGACAGGGTGTTACTAGTGGGTTCTAGAGGAGAGCAGGGGACTGGAGGCAGGCCTGGGAGCTGGAGCAGAGCCGACTTGGGGGCCCAGGTCTCCGCAGACCTTTCCAGGAAAGAGCTAACAGATGCACCCAGTGTGCTTCCCACCCCAGTGGGAGAGCTGCCACCGGGAGGTGGTACCCAGCTCTGAGCTAAGAAGAGCCTCTGATGGGCAGAGCTGCCCCACTGTGGGTTGAGATGCTCGGGAAGTGGTGACCTCCCTGCTGCTGGAGGTGTGTAAGGATGCTCCTGCCAAGTCCACTAAAGAGCAGACTCCTGCCTTGTGCTGGGACAGACTCGATTGCTCAAGGGGTCTTAGAGATGTGACACCTAGAAGGGGCTGCTAAGCTTGTCTGCATGAAGGTGGGATGACCGATTGCATGACATCTGACCTCTCCCAGGTGAGGAGGCCTCAGGGAAGGAAGGATGCTCTCGTGGAGGCCTGCAGCCCCCAGCCCTGCAGTGGGAGGAGGTGTCCTGGGGTCGTGCTCTTCCCAGACTCCTCACACTCCACCCCTGGGAGGAGGGTGGAAGGAGTTCAGGAATGGGGCAGTGGGAGCAGGTGCCCTCTTGACGCTGAGTGACCTGGGGGAGGCCTGTCCCCTCCCTGGGCCTTAGTGTCTTCAAGGGCATCATGGTGCAAGCCCCTCCAGACCCCAGAGCTGTATCTTCTCCCCAAGGCATATCTGGAACAGGCTGTGTTGCCAGGGCCCTTCTGTGTGCCCTGCAGGCCTCCTGGAGGCAGCCTGGGGTGTGAGAATGAGGGAGACCATCTGGAAATGTCCCTGGGCACGCCCCTGTCTAAAGCAAAGCATTCACCACGGGGAGCCAGACTGGGAAGGAAATCTGTTTCTTCTTTGGGGACTGATCTCAAGGCCCTGCCTGCAGAGCAGAGCCTAGACCATGGCAGAGAGGTCTGTCCACACTGGACGATGCCCAGCTGCCCTGTGGTTATTGAGACAGGCTCCTGGGTAGGCTAGCTTATACTCTGTCTTCTGCATGTGACAGCTCAGATAGGACTGTCCTTACTGCAGCCACCAGGACAGGCTTCTCTGCACTCTGGCTGCCCATACAGGCCTGTCCACACACTGGCAGCCTAGACAGACCTGTCTACACTCCAGCCAAATGGACAAGCCTGTTAGATTCTGGCCACCTGCATAGGCCCGCCCATATCCTGGCTGCCCAGACAGGCCCGTCTGCACTCTGGCCGCCTGTATTAATTAGCCCAGTAGCTAATATCATATTTGCTGGCTAGCATAAGGTGTTGAAGCCCACAAGAAGTGAAAAACAAAATACCTTTATTTAGTTAACACTGAATTTGCAAACACAGAAAGGAATAGAAAACCTGACTCCACTTGGACGCACAGGCCTTTGGGGAGTTCTGACACCAGGGCCCCATCGGCAGCTCCACCAGAGCATCCTGGCTGCACCTCCTTCCCGGAGTCCTGGCTTGCCTACCTATTCCATGGGAGGTTGGCCTGGATGTGTCAAGGGGGCCTTTCAGCTCTAGTAAAGACATCTGTCTCCACATCCAAGGAGCTTTGCAAAAGACACGTGGCAGGACAGGAGACTGGACGCACTGTGGCCTGGGGAAGGCAGCGGGGCTTGGCCCTGGGCTGCTCCCCTTGGGGAGAACTGTGTGGCTGAGGCCACCTGTTATGGGGTGGGGCCTGGGCCTGGACACAGCTGCAGGCTGCCCTGTCCTCCAAGAGGAGAGGCGGGGCTTGAAAGATTTGAGTTAGTGTCTTGACCTTAACGTGAGACCTTGGACAAGTGTTTTCAGCTCTCAGAGCCTCAAGTCTGTCATCCAGAAAGTGGGGCCGGATAACCCCTGCCTGCCGCCCTCACCGGGCTCACACCGGGGAAACTGTCACAGCGGGGCCTCAGGCAATGCCGGGCCCATCACTCCCTAGATGGGGCTCCCCCATGCAGCCTTTCCCTTCTCTGAGATACATTTTCCGTCAAGCGGGGTTAATTCCAGCCTCTCAAGGGTGAGAAGAATGTGTGATCCTGGCCCCTGCCGGCTGCTCAGGAGGGTTGGAGAGTCGAGTTCCTGCCTCAGGACCCTGCCCCTGGAGGCCTCGCCTGCCCCTGCAGCTCCGCAGGCTCAGACATTGGTCTCCAGCTCACTGATCTGGATGGTGCAGTGGTTCAGACTCGCAGCGGGCAGCTCCTCATCCTGCTCCACTTGAACGGGGACGTGGTGGGGGCAGGTGGGGCCCAGGGTGAGCTCGGAGGCCTCGGCTACACTCTTCACACAGCCATTCTGCTGGGCTGCCACGATCTCCTGGAGGCTCACTGGCTTGGTCTCGCAGGGCAGCAGTTTCTGGTGAAGGGAAACAGGTCTTTGTAGCAGCAGGAGGGACCAAGGTTAGATACGAGGGAGGACTGAGGGCCAGTGGGGCAGAATGAGCTCAGGGCTAGGAACCACAAGATGGATTTTCCTGCAGACACGCTGTGTGACCTCGGCAGGTCACGGCCTCCCTGGGCTCCTGTTCCCAAGCGTCCTGCCTCCCACTGGAGCTGGCTTAGTAGAGGAGGGGACTTAATCCACAGGGTCCATCTGGGGAATTGGTGGATCCCCTGCCTGACCTCAGCTTCTTCCCCATGATGTGGGGACAGCCTTCTCCATTTGCCTGTAGAAGGAGCCTGAAGCCCACACAGCCTGCACAGACCTACAAATGCTCACATGTTGGCTAAACTGGACAGACCATCCCGACACGAGGGCGGGGAATTTTATCATATCTTGTTCTACTGTTCCTCCTGTGTCTATATCAGCGCCAGCCACAGCGGGTGCTCAATAAATAGATGTTAGAGGAATCAGTCATTCTGTAACGGATGAGGAGACCGAGGCCCAGAGGCATGGAGGGAGGGATTGGCTGGAGGCTGCCGAGCTGGTTGGTGGAAGATCTGGTGCCCTGCCCACCCTGCGTGGCTCCACCCTCCTGGCAGCCTCTGGATCTCACTGCTCTCACCTCGGTGCCTGTGTCCCGGGCAAAATCCTTCCGACATATATGGGCCATGATCCCCGCTGCCAGCGCATCACCCAGCACGTTAATCATGGTGCGGAAACGGTCCCTGGTGAGCCAAGGTTGGGGGTGAGTGGTGGGCACTTGAAGGGGAGCTGGAAGAGGGCAGTGCTCAACCCAGCACAGTACAGCACGGCCGGTGACCAGCTGTCATGCAAAGCCTGCAGCCAGATGGCTTCCTGGCTCCTCCCAAGCCCACCCTTTGGCATCATTGAAGCAGCTTCTTGGCATGCAGCTGTGGGTTCCACAGGTCCCCATGCTTAGAAGGGTTAGGTTTGGTTTAATCCTCTGCTGTTTCTGTCTTGAAATTCTTTATAGGTTTGTTTTTTGTTTGTTTGTTTGTTTGTTTTTTGAGACAGAGTCTTGCTCTGTCACTCAGGCTGGAGTGCAGTGGCGCCATCTCGGCTTACTGAAACCTCCATCTCCCAGGTTCAGGTAATTCTCGTGCCTCAGCCACCTGAATAGCTGGGATTACAGGCACATGTCACCAGTCCCAGCTAATTTTTTCTTTTCTAATTTTTAGTAGAGATGGGGATTTTACTGTGTTGCCCAGGCTGGGCTCTGGAATTCCTGGGCTCAAGGAATGCTCCTGCCATGGCCTCTCAAAGTTCTGGGACATATAGGCGTGAGTCATCATGCCTGGCCTTTACAGTTTTTGGACTGGGTTCCACATTTTCATTTTTGAACACTGGACCCCACAAATTATGCAGCCAGGCCTGTGCTAATGAGTAGGGCACTCCCACAGTGCCAAGCGGGGCAGTCCCCAGCCTTCTACCCTGGGGAAGGGACTCAGCCGCTCACCCTGATCCCTGCTGACCCTGAAGTCAGCCCCTCCCAGAGGGCTAGAGCTAGAGGCAAAGTCCACTCACAGAGCCCAGTCAACGGCAATGATGAGGGTGATGTCATCGGTGGGCAGTCCCACGGAGGTGAGCACGATGACCATGGTGACGAGGCCGGCCTGGGGGATGCCAGCTGCCCCAATGCTGGCTGCAGTGGCTGTGATACTGCAGGGGGTGGGAAGGGGAAGAGGAGCAGCAGGAGGGGCAGGGTGCATTGTCAGGGTCTGGCTCCAAGGAAGAGGTTGAGTGTCAGGGCCTCTGGGACAGCCATTTGGTGCGGGGGGTGGGTAGGAATGCCACACCAGGGAGCTCTCGGGGTCAAGTCCCTCCTCACAGTCCTGAAGCCCCATGGACCCCCATTCCTGGCCTCAGGAGAATCCCTGGGAACTGTGCAAACACCTGTGTCTGGAGCTGTGCCTCTGTGGGTTCCAGGAAGCTATATTGCTATGGGGCTGCCCAGGGACTCTGACTGACCACCACATGGCTCTGCCTGCCTGCCTCTGGGGCCTGGCCTCCAGGGTCAGACCTGTGTGCTTGGCTGGGCTGTGAGGCCTCCGTCAGCCTCAGCCGCATCCCAGCACCCCTTCGTTGGCTCCTGCCACACGGGCGGCCTCTCCAAGGTCCTGAGTCCTGTCCCTGGCCTCCGCTCGCCCTGTGGCCACCAGCAATGCCCTCCCTCCCGGGCTGTCCTCCAGGCTCGGAGCTCCCAGCCCTGGCCCTCTGCCTGCTGTGCTCCGAGCCCAGGCTCGCTCGCTTCAGATACCCCTCAAGTCTGGGAGCCTGGGAATCCCCAAGGCCCCCAGCCCCCGCCCCATCCACCCAGGTGCAGTGTCAGGGTGCACCTGATGGTGATGATCTGGCCAAAGTCCAGCTCGTAGTTGTTGACCTGGGCGATGAAGATGGCGGCCACAGCCTCGTAGAGCGCAGTGCCGTCCATGTTGATGGTGGCACCCACGGGCAGCACGAAGCGAGCGATGCGCCGGTCGATGTGGTTGTTCTCCAGCAGGCACTTGAAGGTGATGGGCAGTGTGGCTGAGCTACGGTTAGAGGGGCCGGTGTCTGCCCAGCACCCTCCTCCAGGATGGCTGGGGCCTCTGTCGGGAAGCTCACCCCTCCCCAGGCAGCCACCCCGCCAGGAGTGTTTGTGCCTCTGCAGCGCTGCTCCGGCAGGAGGTAAGGACCGCGGGCACTGCAGTGCTCTCACTTGGTTCTTCCTATGAGGGAGGTGTTTGGGTGCATTTTACAGATGAGGAAGCTGACGCCCAGAGGGCGGGGCTGACCCATGTCACACTGCTGTGCCGAGGGATATGGAGGTCTGAGCAGCAGGGCCCTGGGCCAGGCTGTCTGGGCTTAGATTCCAGCCTCCTGTCAAGTGGTCCTGGCAAGTTCCTGAACCCTGTGCCTCAGCATCTTTGTCCCAAAAAGACCTGGGTCACAGAGCTACTAGGAGGATTAAACGACTACGGGCTTGGACAGCACCTGGCCCATTGTACCCACTCAGTCAATGGTGACCATGACTATTATTATTACTATGTTTGTCATGAGAGTTCCCAGTGGCAGTGCTGGGACTAAAACAGGCCGGTGTGGCCCCTGTGTCTTCCTCTCCCCCGGGCCTCTGCCTGGAAGGCCGGTTCTACTCGCCAGAGCCTCTCAGGAGCTCCAGACCTGCTGGGCTTGAGGCTGCGGTTCCTGCTGGCAGGAGATGGCCAGGGGGCTGCTGGCTCTGGCTGGCTTGGCCCCTGGCATGGGAGCTGGCATGTTTGGGGCTTTGTCCTGCCCTCTGACCCCCTATCTGCGGGAGGGTGTTCCTGGCAATGGCTCCTGGGCTTTTCTTCACTGGGGTCTGCTCCTGAATCCTGCAGGAGGTGCATCTGCTGCCAGGGGTGGGTGTCATATGACTGCTGGGTACAGAGGCCTGCAGGGCATTTTACAGATGGAAAAACTGAGACCCAAGTGAGGGCTAGAGGGAAGAGTGAGGCCTTCAGTGCCAGAAAGATGTGGCTTAAGTTCCTGCGACTCCCTTAATGTGGAGCTCAGACACTTGCCATGGGGAGAGCCAAACTGCCTTCACAGCACTAGATGCTCCATAAGGGACCACTTCCTTCCTGCCCCCTCCACCAACGACATGGTTTGCACAACTCTAAATTCCTGAGGTCTCTGCACTGGGCTGAGGTTTGGGATCCTTAAGGCCAAGTGCTGGTTCACCTGGCCCAGCCTGGCAAGGAGGGGCTCGACCTCCACTGCAACCCTGTGAGCTGGAAGCTGGAGTCTCCCCCAGTCTGTGCATGAGGAAAGCAATGCCCAGGCACAGCGAGTGAGTGACAGAGCCATGGCTCAAGTCCCTGAGGTCTAGGGACACTGCCAAGGTTGTGACAGGGCACCCAGCCAGGACATCCCAGCGGCAGTGGACAGGCCGAGCTCCTAGAGCAACACAGGGCCCGACTCCAGGAGAAGCACCTTGTGGGGCAAAAGGCAGCAGCAGTGCGTTGCCAATGTGATTTCCCACTGACTCTACTGTGCTGTCTGCCCTGGCGCGTCGAGGCCGCCCCCATGCGGACTCAGTGAGCTTGAGGACTGGGGCCGTGGGGGAAGGAGAGGCCTCGACAAAGGCCAAAAGTCCCCCACGTCAGTCTTGTTACCCCAGCACCAGCCGTCCCCGCATTTGTGAGGTGGGCCACACTGGCGTTTTGGTGGTTCTGTGGCTATGAACCAATGATGGCTGGACAGACGGACAGGGCTCAGCCCCTCCCAGCTCCCCACCGTCCTGCCCGTCCCCGGGGCTACCTGGAGGAGGTGGCCAGCGCGATGAGCAGAGCCTGCAGGATGCCACGGATGAAGACGATGGGATTCTTCTTGGTGATGAAGAAGTAGAGCAGGGGCAGGATAAAGAGCCCGTGGAGCACCAGCCCGCACACCACGGTGACTGAGTAGAAGCCCAGCTTCTTGCCGACGGCCCTGGGGTCGTCCATCTCCAGGATCTTACCCGCAATGAGGAACACAATGCCGAAGGGGAAATACCTGGGGGCGGCGGGGCAGCCAGGCTCAGGAACCAGGCAGGCAGACACACCCCGGCCCCAGCCCCGCATCGCTGCGCGGCCTTCCCCCTGAGCTTCCTGGGGCTCCTGCGAGGACAGAGCGAGACTGCCAAGGTGCCCGGCCCAGGCTCAGCACATGGCGTCCTTCATACCGTTACTTCCACCGCCCCAGCTCCAGACAACCTCTGCCACTCCTTCCCCCGCCCTGCCTTCAGGAGGCCCCCATTTCAGGCCCAACAACGCCAGAGTCTACACAGTGCGCCTGGGCAGCCCTCCCTCTGCGTTCCCCACTGAGCTCCTGGACTCTGAACTGTGGGCCGAGGACTCTGAACTGTGGGCTAGTCCTTACCGCCAGCTTTCCTTTCTCCAAAAGCTGAGCTGATAAGGCTCCATGTGATGGAGAAACTGAGCCCAGGAGAGCAGCAGAGCCGGGCAGAGCTCTTAGACCAGGCTGGAAGGGGCAGGCCCAGGGCCGGAGCCAGGCCTGGCTGGGGCTGGGGGACCCATGGAAACACATGTAGCTCCGGAGGCCCCGGCCCAGGGCTGAGCCTGGGCACAGCTTTCTGCTCACTTTACGGGAGAAGAGGGTGGGGTCTTGTCTTCCCTCCATCCACCCAGGGCTGGCCGGGGTGAGGTGGGTAAATGAGGAGGCTTACCACACAGCCACCGCCACGATCTTCATGACCGACTCATTGAGGCACTGGCAGAAGCTGACCAGGGGGGCCCCGCTGTCACCCATGCGGCCCAGCATGATGCCTGCGGGTCAGGGACACAGTGCTGTGGTAAAGCAGGGACAGACCCACAGGCCCACATGGGTCTCAGCATGGCTGGCTTCCCAGCAGCCTTGATGCTCCAGCACTCCCCCCACTCCCCCCACTCTCTCTCTCCCTCTCTCCTCCTCCACTCTACTACCGATCCCACAGTGCTCTCACGTCCTCCTCTCTCACCTTCCTCCACGCAGCAGCCAATGTCACCTCCTCAGGATAAAAGTGCTCCCTGCCAAGTGCACCCCTGGCTTCGCTGTGCGCTTAGGCCATGACAAGCTCCCCGCTGCCTCACCCAGCTCGATGCCTCAGCCCCACTCGAGTGGGCCCTGCCTGCCTCTCCCTCCTGCTCCTGCCCATCTCACTGTGCCCTGGCACCACTGGCCTTCTTTAAGTTTCTGGAAGGAGGGAGTCCAGCTCTTCACTGCCTCAGGGCCTTTGCGCAAGCCGTTTACACAGTGCCCCAGGCACTGGCTGCCCGCTCTCCAAACAGCTTGGAAGCCATCCCCGATCCCCTTTGCAAACTCCCATTTATTCTTCAATATCTCACCTCTTAGGGCCTATTACAACATAACTGTCTGGGTTTTTTCCCGTCTCCTCTGCGAGGTTAGCTCAGCGAGAGCAAGAACTGCATCTCCTTAGCTGGAGCATGTTAGACGCACAGTGGTCAATGGTGAGTGAGGACTAGGGCCTTTCCTGATGCTCCTGGCGCCTCCCCCGGCATTCTAGGCCTTCCTCCCCAGCTCGCACACACCAGGAAAGGGTGGTGTGGGAACGGCTCCGTGGGGTGAGCTCTGTCAGGCCAGTCCTGAAACAGGGACTGAGTGGCTGCCCTACCTCCTGGTGAGACCGACGTGGGGAGCAGAGCACTCTCTACAGCTGCCCTCATGAGGCCCACTGTCATGGTGCTGGGGCTCAGCTAGGGAGGCAGGGTGGGATTCAAACCCTGGCCTGTGGGACACCAGAGAAGGGCTCTTTCCCTGTCCTGAGAAGCCTGAGCCACACAGTCCATGGAGCAGCTACCCCGTGGTGACGGAGTGAGGTGAGGGCCCTGCCAGGGTGGGTAGGAGAGGCTGGAGTTGGAGGTGACCCTGGGCCTACCCCGCCCGCCTGTCTTCCTGCCGCCTGGCTGATGCAGACCCAGACTCCCCTGCCGGCTCCGCCCTCCCCGGGCTCCACCACCACCACGCACGGGCTTCCTGCCCCTCCTCAGGCCCATTTGGATTTTCCCAGGGGCATCCGAGGACTGGCTGCTGGGAGCCAGTGTGCATGGAACCCTAGTGTGGCACGGGGGCTCCCTCACGGCAGGGCCAGCAGGACCTTAGCACCAGCCACATCCCAGGGATGGGGTGGGGAAAGGAGGCTGGGTTGAGGGAACCAAAGAAAGCCCTGCTCGGAGCCGCTGTGCTAGTGTGCTCACTCACACACGCGGGCAGACACTGGTATCTGCACCAACAGGCACAGGCACCGGCAGATGTGGACACTGACAGGCACAGGCACACACAGAAGCAGGTGCACACAGACACAGGCACGGAAAGACCAGGCACACGCTGATGCGGGGACACAGGAATGCAGCTGCACCCAGACATGAGCACAGGCAGATGTGGGCACACGCAGGCATGAGCACACACAGACGCAGGTGCACATAGACACAGGCACAGGTAAGCCAGGCGCATGCTGATGGGGGAACACAGGGACACAGGTGCACACAGACACAGGCACGGAGAGGCCAGGCACACACTGATGCAGGGACACAGAGATGCACGTGCACACAGACACAGGCACTGGCAGATGTGGGCACATAAAGGCATGAGCATACACAGTAAGCCACACCCTGCCTTGGTACACTCACACACCCTGCCTTGGTACACTCACACACCCCGCCTTGGTACACTCACACACCTTGCCTCAGTACATTCACACCGCCTCGGTACACTCACACACTCTGCCTCGTTACACTCACACCGCCTCGGTACACTCAACTCGCCTTGGTACACTCACCCTGCCTCGATACACTCACACACCCCGCCTCGTTACACACACACTGCCTTGGTACACTTAAACCCGCCTCAGTACACTCACACAACCTGCCTAGGTACACTCACACACCCCAGCTCAATACACTCACACACCCTGCCTCGGTACACACACACAACTTGCCTCGGTACACTCAACTGCCTCGGTACACTCACTCCACCTTGTTACACTCACACACCCCACCTCGGTACATTCACCCCGACTTGGTACACTCACACACACTGCCTCGGTACACTCACACACACCACCTCAGTACACTCACACCACCTTGGTACATTCACATCGCCTCGGTACACTCACACAACCCGCCTCGGTACACTCACACAAACTGCCTTGGTACAGTCACACCACCTCGGTGCATTCACACACACCACCTTGGTACACACACACCCCGCCTCAGTACACTCACTCCACCTCAGTACACTCACACAACTCGCCTCGGTACACTCAACTGCCTCAGTACACTCACACTGCCTTGGTATGCTCACACCCCCCCACCTCATTACACTCACACACCCCACCTCAGTACATTCACCCCGCCTTGGTACACTCACACACACCACCTCGGTACACCCACATGCCCCACGTTGTTACTTTCACGCGCCTAGCCTCGATACACTCACACACCCTGCCTTGGTACACTCAAACCATGCATCTGTACACTCACACACACCGACTCGGTACACTCACACTGTCTCGGTAAACTCACCCCATCTTGGTACACTCACACACCCTGTCTCAGTACACTCACACCACCTTGGTACACTCACACATCCCGCCTAGGTACACTCACACGCCTCGCCTCGGTACACTCACACACCCTGCCTCGGTACACTCACACACCTTGCTTCATTACAATTACACACCCCACCTTAGCACACTCACACACTCCACCTCGGTACACTCACACGCACATAAACCCCAGCTCAGTACACTCACACCCCATGCCTCAGTACACTCACACACTCCACTTCGATACACTCACACACCCTGCCTTGGTAAACTTACACACCACTTCAGTACACATACCACTTCGGTACACTCACACATCCACACACACTGCCTCAGTACACACACACACCGCCTCAATACACTCACACACAGTGCCTTGGTACACTCACATACCCCGCCTTGATACATTCACACACCCAGCCTTGGTACACTCACAGATACTGCCTCAGAACATTGACACACCCTGCCTCAATACACTCACAGATACCACCTCAGAACACTCACACACCCTGCCTCAGTACGCTCACTTTGCCTCGATACACTCACACGACCTGCCTCGGTACACTCACACACACCCCCTCAGTACACTCACATACACCACCTCGGTACACTCACATAACCTGCCTCGGTACACTCACACACCCCGCCTCAGTACACTCACACAACCCACCTTGGTACCCTCACACACACTGTCTTGGTGCACTCAACCTGCCTCGGTACAATCACACGCACTGCCTCAGTACGCTCACACACACTGCCTCGGCACACTCACAGAACCCGCCTCAGTACACCTACACGCCCCGCCTTGGTAGACTCACATGCCCCACCTCAGTACACTCACAGATACCACCTCAGAACATTCACACACCCTGCCTCAGTACACTCACGCACCCTGCCTCGGTACACTCATTTTTTCTCGGTACACTCACACACCCCGCCTTGGTACACTCACACAACCCACCTCGGTACCCTCACACACTGCCTTGGTGCACTCACACAACCTGCCTCCGTGTACTCACACACACCCCCTCGGTACACTCACACACACTGCCTCGGAACACTCACACAACCCACCTTGGTACAATCACACACACCACCTCGGTACACTCACACACAGTGCCTTGGCACACTCAGAACCTGCCTCAGTACACTCACACACCCCACCTCGGTACACTCACACACCCTGCCTTGGTACAATCACAAAACCCGCCTTGGTACAATCACACACACCACCTTGGCACACTCACACATACTGCCTCGGTACACTCAAACACCTCGCCTCGGTACACTCACAAACCCTGCCTCCAAGCACTCACACATCCCACCTCAGTACACTCGCTCTGCCTCAGTACACTCATACAACCCACCACAGTACACCCACACCACCTGCCTTGGTACAGTCACACACAGTGCCTTGGTACACTCACACACAGCACCTCAGTACACTCACACACACCGCCTCAGTACACTCACACACTCCGCCTCAGTACATTCACACAACCCACCTTGGTACTATCACAAATACTGCATCGGTACACTCACACACCCTTGCTTCAATACACTCACACACCCCCACCTTGGTATACTCACCCCACCTCGGTACACTCACACACCATGCCTCGGTACACTCACACACCACAACTCGGTACACTCACACCACCTCGGTACACTCACAAACCCTGCCTCGGTACACTCACATACCCTGCCTCCGTACACTCACACATTTTGCCTTGGTACACTCACACACCCTACCTTGGTACACTCACTTTGCCTCGGTACACTCACACCTCAGTACACACACCACGTCTTGGTAAACTCACACACCCCGCCTCTGTACACTCACATGCACTGCCTCAATACACAAACATGCCCCACCTTGGTACACTCACATGCCCCGCCTCAGTATACTCACCCTGCCTCGGTACACTCACACTGCCTTGGTAGGCTCACACACCCTGTCTCGGTACACACACACACTCCACTCGTACCAAAACCCGCCTTGCTACACTCACACACCCCACCTTGGTACACACATACGGTCACACCACCTTGGTACACTCACACACTCCACCTTGTTACACTCACACCGCCTCAGTACACTCACACACCCTGCCTTGGTACACTCACCCTGCCTCAATGCATTCACACATCACCCTTGTTACACTCAAACTGCCTCAGAACACTCATATGCCCTGCCTCAGTACACTCACACCATCCACCTCAGCATACTCACACACCCTGCCTCGGTACACACATACACACCGCCTCAGTACACTCACACATACCACCTCAGTACGTTCACACACACCACCTCGGTACACTCACTCTGCCTGAGTACACTCATACCACCTCAGTACACTCACATAACTGGCCTCGGTACACTCACACATACCGCCTCGATACACTCACATTGCCTCAGTACACTCACACAACTTTCTTCGGTACAGTCACACAACCTGCTTCAGTACACTCACACACCCTGCCTTGGTACACTCACACCGCCTTGGTACACTTACACACTCTGCCTCATTACACTCACACTGCCTCGGTACACCCACACCACCGTAGTACACTCATTCCACCTCATTACACTCACACTGCCTTGGTACACTCACATACCCTGCCTCAGTACACTCATCCTGCCTCGCACTCACACACCACCTCTCATTACACTTATACTGCCTCAAAACACTCACACCCTGCCTCTGTACACTCACAACCCACCTCTGTACACTCACACACCCCGCCTCGGTACATGCACACATACCGCCTCGGTAGGCTCACACATACCATCTCGGTACAGACACACGCTGCCTCGGTACACTCACAGAGTCTTGGTACACTCACATAACCTGCCTTGGTACACTCATACACACCGCCTCAGTACACTCACACACCGCCTCGGTACACTCACACTGCCTCAGTACCTCACATACCGTCTCGGTACACACACATACCCCGCCTTGATAGACTGACACACACCACCTCGGTACGCTCACACTGCCTCAGTACCTCACATACCGCCTCGGTACACACACATACCCTGCCTTGATAGACTGACACACACCACCTCAGTACGCTCACACAGCCCGCCTCGGTATACTCACACAACCTGCCTCGGTACACTCACACACCTCGCCTCAGTACACTCAACCGCCTCAGTACACTCACTCACACCACCTTGGTACACTCACACACCCCACCACAATACCCTCACTTTGCCTCGGTACACTGACACATACCACCTCAGTACACTCATACCCATTGCCTCAGTATACTCACACCACCTTGGTACACTCACACACCCCGTCTGAGTACACTCACACACCTTGCCTCAGTACACTCACACTGCCTCGGTACACTCACACACACCACCTCGGTACACTCACACCCCTCCTTGTTACACACACACCTTACCTTGGCACACACCCTGTCTCAGTACACACACACACCATCTCGGTACACTTACACACCCCACCTTGGTACACTCACACACCCTGCCTCAGTACACTCACACATACCACCTTGGTACACTCGCATTGCCTTGGTACATTCACACACCCCAACTCAGTACACTCAGAAACCATGCCTCTGTACATTCACACACCACACCACCTCGTTATACTCACACCATCTCAGTACACTCACACACTCCATCTGAGTACACTCACACACCTTGTCTTGGTACACTCACACCACCTTGGTACACACACACCTTGCCTCTCTGTACACTCACACACCCCCACCTTGATACCTTCACATACACCACCTCGACACACTCATACACCCCGCCTCAGAACACTCACACATCCACATACACCCACACACACCACCTCAGTACATTCACACACCCCACCTTGGTATACTCACACACCCCACCTTGGTACACTCATACAACCTGCCTCGCTACACTCACACGCACCGCCTCGGTACACTTGCACACCCAACCTTGGTACACTCACACACACCGCCTCAGTACACATACACACCCCGCCTCAGTACACTCACACAACCCAACTCAGTACACTCACACGCCCCACCTCGGTACACTCACACACCCCGCCTCAGTACACTCACACGTCTTGTTTCAGTACACTCACACGTCCCACCTCGGTCCACTCATACACACTGCCTTGGTGCACTCACAAACGCTGCCTCGGTACATTCACACACACCACCTCGGTACACTCGCACACCCAACCTTGGTATACTCACACACACTGCCTCAATACACATACACATACCACCTCAGTACACTCACACAACCTGCCTCGGTACACTCACACAACCCGTCTCGGTACACTCACACACCTTTCCTCGGTACACTCACACGACTTGCCTCGGTACACTCACATGCCTTGCCTGTGTACACTCATACATACCACCTCGGTACACTCACACACATTGCCTTGGTACACTCACACACTGCCTTGGTATACTCACACACTTTGCTTCAGTACGCTCACACACCCGCCTCAGTACACTCACATCACCTCGGTACACTGCCATACCCCGCCTCAGTACACTCACACACTTTGCCTTGGTACACTCAGACTGCCTCAATACATTCACACACCCCACCTCAGTCCACTCACACACCCTGCACCGGTACACTCCCACACCGCACCTTGGTCCACTCACACACACCACCTCAGTCCACTCAGATACCCTGCCTTTGTCCACTCACACACCCCACCTTGGTACATTCACAAAACCCGCCTCGGTACACTCACACACACCACCTTGGTACACTCACACACACCACCTCGTTACACTCACACACACTGCCGCAGTACACTCACACACCCCGCCTCAGTACACTTACACACCCTGCCTCGGAACACTCACACAAATCGTCTTGGTACTCTCACACTGCCTTGGTACACTCACATACCCACACGCACTGCCTCGGTACACTCACACACCCCACCTCGGTACACTCGCACACCCCACCTCGGTACACTCGCACACCCCACCTCGGTACACTCACACACCCCTCCTCGGTACACTCGCACACCCCGCTTTGGTACACTCACACACACTGCCCCATTACACTCACACACACTGCCTTGTTACACTCACACTGCCTCAGGACACTCACACATCTCACAACGGTACACTCACACCACCTCGAAACACCCACACACACCACCTCGGTACACTCACACACCCTGCCTCAGTACACTCACCCTGACTCGTCACACTCACTCACCCTGCCTCGGTACACCCATGCCTACTCGGTACACTCACACAACCCGCCTCAGTACACTCACACACCCCACCTCAGTACACTCACACACCTTGCCTCGGTACACTCACACTCCTCATCTTGGTACACTCACAAACCATGTCTCGGTACACTCACACCAGCTTGGTACACTCACACAGTGTCAGTACACTCATACACCCTGCCTCAGTACACTCACACACCCTGCCTCGGTACACTCACACACCCTACCTTGGTACACTTACACACCGCCTCGGTACACTCACACGCACACTCAGTACACTCACACGCCCGCCTCGGTACACTCACACTCTTTGTCTTGGTACACTCACATGTCCCACCTCAGTACACTCACACGCCCTGCCTCGGTACCCTCATACGACCTGCCTCAGTACACTCACACAAATGTTCACAGATGCACGGACAGTTACACATGCGCAGCGAACGCTCAGCGAGTTGAGTCCAAGGGTCTCCGGTTCTTTTGTTCTGCCAGTAGATGCCCTTCTCTTATGTTCCCAGCCCTGAGAAAGGCTGAGTTTGGGGACTGCTTGTCAGATGTGCCGAGAGGCACTTTCAGACATTTTCGTTTCACACACTTGGGTCACCGAGGCCCCGGCCCCTCTGCACACCTGGCGTTTTGGCCCAGATGAGAAGAGCTCCATTACCCATTGTCACCCAGCCGTCCACCCATCTCCCTACCAGGTCTGCTGAGTGCCTGCTGTAGCCACGGCAGCGGTGGGCTCTGGGGTGGATGGAGACAAGCCCGTCAGCCTGTATGGGGCTGGTCATGGCTGTGCAGACAGCAAGCAATGATATCCTTGCAATCGAGTCTAGTGCTCACAGAGTAACCAGGCAGTGTAGCTCGGGGCACTCGGCCTAGTCTGCGGAGGACTCTCCTGAGGGCATGGCACTTGTGGGGAGCACCCTGAAGATGACAAACGTGGAGGGGGAGTGGCAAGAGCAGCCGGGCTGAGGGTTGTGCGGAGAGGAGCACACGGGCCAGTCTCACGGGGCTTTTCAGCCGGCACTAGGGGTTCGGCCCCTTTCCAGGGGCAATGGGCAGAGCACGGTCAGACTTGTGACCTCCTGAGCTGGACACACCAGCAGGGACAGCCGTGGAAGTTTTCTAGGCAGCTTTCACAGGAACCAGGCGAGAGACCACACGGCCTTGACCCGGGCAGTGACGCGGGGTAGAAGGAAACGCACGGCTTGGAGGGGACTTTGGGGGCAGACCCGACCGGATGCAAAGGTGGGGGCCAAGGCAGAGGACGAGGTAGAAAGTCACCCCTAGAGTTTTTGCATGAACGAGGTTGGTGAGGTCTTTTCCTTGACAAGAAAACCCAGTGGAGGAGTCGGGGATGGCAGGCAGGACATTTCCACAGGCTTTGTGGGGTCTGAAGCTTGTATAATTTGGGACCCATCTTTAAGAAAAATAACACAAAATTTAAAAACCAAGGTGCGGGCCTCCAAGGGGCTTGCATAGGTGAGGGGCCTGGCATCCCAGAGGAGGGCAGCAAAGGGAAGGGTGTGGCAGGGATGCCAGCTGCGGGCCTAAGAAATGGCCCAGACGGGCCTGAGGGGGAGGTGCCAGGGGGAAGCCCCTGGGGTGGGGTGGGGAGGCGAAGGATTTAAATAAACAGGTGTGGTGAATATTTCCAGTTTTTCACAGTAAACCTCTCCAGCATTCTCCCCAGACCTCAGTAAGAGGTGGAGGAGCAGGCTGCTGGGAGGGGCTGGGGGCCCGGCTCCACGGCACTGCTGGGCAGGTGGGCAGCACATACCCATGGTGGCAGAGAAGAAGACGATGCCCAGCACATTCATGCCATCGCTGGTGCCCGGCTCTGACTTGTAAACGACCTCGGGCGGCGGGGTCAGGTCCAGGGCGAAGTTCTGCACATGGGAGCCATTCTCCTCCTGGACCCCGTAGATGAGGATCCGCCGAGGAGGGGCCTCCTCTGGTGCCACCTTGGGGGACTTGACAACTGGGGTGGTCTTGGTGCGGTACTGGTGGGTGACACCCCACCCAGAGAGAAGTCAGGGCCAAGGGTTGTTACTAATATTAACGACAACAATAATAGCATCTTGAAGGCACATTTGTATCCATTCCTATCCTATTTGATTGACAGTAACCCTGTGAGGCAGGCAGAGCAGGGATTGCTATCAATATTTTACCCAAAGAAAGCTGCAACTCCTTCCTCTACCACCACACCACCCAGCCACGCTGCCTCCTGCCTTCATTCCTCTTCTTACTTCTATACCTCATCACCCCATCTGGGTCCCTCTTAACTGCCTGCCCAGCCCCTTATCCACCCAAGTAACCCTTTATCCACCCATCTGTCCCCTCCCAATCATCCAGTATCCATCCACCTGGTGGCCTGCTGGCCCTGCTGCCCACCAGGTGGAAACTTGGACCTTCTTTTTGAAGAAGCATAGCCTGCCCCAAGCCTTGTTAATGAGATGAAGCCCATGCACAAGAAAATGACCTTCCTGAGCCACGTACCTTTCCCTCTCTGCCCCCAGAGCATTCATGGGTCTCACCCCATCATCCCTCAGGTACTGGGAGCCCAAAAAGGGAGCCTCCTCTCCCCTCAAACATCACTGCATCGATAAGGCCAACCACTCAGGAAACATATGAGACCTGAAGTCTCTGCTTCCTTTTCCTCCTCTGTAAAATGGGACCGTGATAGCATCTACTGCATGAAATGAAATGAGACGATGTATATAAAGTGCTTACAACAGTTCCTGGTACATGTTAAGCCCCATGGAAGCATTACTGCTACCATCATCGTCATCATCACGTTGAACACTCTGTGCTGGTTGCTGGAGATACACAAATGAACCTGACATGATTTCTGCCTTGCGGAGGGAGTGACTAATTGGCTGAAAGAGTTAGCTTCACAAAGAAGGGGACATTTGACTTGAGTCCTGAAGGATGGGTAGGAGTTTGCCAAAAGAGAAAGGGCATTCCAGAGAGTTACAGAGTAGAGCAACATTCTTTCTCTTTATCTCTCACACCCTCAATGATTCCCAATTACAATAGAAACTCCCTAGCCTAGCATTCAGTCCCCTTCACAATCTGGCTTATTTCATGGATGTCAGGAGAGACGCGGCGATATGCCAAAGCTTTCACAGCTCCCTATTCAGAAGCCTCCTCTCTATACCTCAGCCACTTCCTTTGTGTCCCCAGGCTCAACACAGGGCCCAGCCCAGGAAAGGGGTTCAGGAAACCCTTGCTGGATTAAGTCAACCAACCAGCTGACAGTTTAGAAAGGGAAAAAGAATTGGAAATTATTCAAAGGGCAGGCAAAGACTGAGCACAAGGACATTCACCACAATTTCGACGAAGGAAAAACTTTGAAAACAACCTAAGGGAACACTGAAAGGGGGAGTGGGAAATAAATTACAGCGCAGCCTTATCACAGGCCATTGTAGTACCACTAAACATTGTACTTTTAAGAAATATTTCATAACCGGGGAAAATGCTCAGGATATAATGGAAGTGAAAAAAAGCAAGATGAAAACTGTATATGCACTATGATTATAATATTATTTAAAAATAAGCAGAAGAAAAAAGACCAGAAATATATCCTCTGCTACCAGGGACTATGTACTAGAACTAGAGATGATTTTTGTTTTCTACTTTATATTGTTTGGTATTTTCCTAATTTTCTACAGTGAACATCATTATTATTCTTGTTAGGGGAAAAATGATTACTTTAAAAAGAAAGAGAAAACAGGCTAAGAAGATAGGCCTGGGTTTACCTACTGGCTTTGTCATTTACTAGTGGTATAACCTTGGGCAAATCATTGACTCCTCGGAGCCTCAGTTTCCTCTTCAGGAAGTGGGGCTCATCCTACCTCAGTGCCGAGTTACTGTGTGGATGGGCGAGATGGTGTATGTGGAAGCAGAGCAGGCACTCAGTGAAGGCTTCTCTCCACCCCCACACTTTTTCATCATGAAAACTGGAACCCAGGACAGGGATGTGGCCATGGGGGTCTCTAAGGATCTAGGTTCCCCAGCGTACCCTCCCCTCTAGCATCCCACCTCCAGCAGACAGCGTGACTGGCCAGCACACCTGTCACTTCCCAGCCATGCCACTAGCCCTGCTGCCTGCCCTCCTGCCTGCTGCCCCTTCCCTCCCCTCCACTGCCCAGAGACTCACTCACCTGTTTGAATGTGGCTTCTACTAGGTTGGCTGGGAACATGTTCCTAGGAAGAGAATCAGCAATTGAAAAATTCCAGAGCCCAGGACAGGAGGGCCCTGGGGGTTGTGGCCTTGGGGTCATCTGGACATCTCCTTTGGTGGTCGGGCCTTCCTCAGGCCAGCCTCCTCTGCAGTCTCACCCACTACATCATGGACACTCCACAGCGCCAGCACCTGCCGCCCCCAGACTGTGCCACATACTTTCCAGAGCCAGGCATTTGTCTACACTGTTCCCTCTGCCCGGAATGCCCTGCCTGCCTCTTGGTCTGGTGAACTACTCAAATCTACCACAGATCAAGCACCTCTTCCTCTGTCCAGCCCTCCCTGACTGCCCCACGAGACCCTGCGGCCCTTCTGTGTGTAGGTCGCTGCTGCTCCGCCACACCACCGTGCGGTCACTGGCTCACCTGTCTGCCTCCCCCATATAGTGGCCGCCTTGCAGGTGGGACTTGGTTGTTCATGTCCTATCTGTGGGGCCTAACACGGGACCTCGCACATAGGTGGGCTCATTATTCTTAGTAACATATTTTATTATAAAGCTAAAGGTGGAGGAGTCTTTCCTACTAGATAAAAAACGGTGGCTCACGCCTGTAATCCCAGCACTTTGGGAGGCCAAGGCGGGCGGATCACGAGGTCGGAGATCGAGTCCACGGTGAAACCCCGTCTCTACTAAAAATACAAAAAATTAGCTGGGCACGGTGGCGGGTGCCTGTAGTCCCAGCTACTCAGGAGGCTGAGGCAGGAGAATGGCGTGAACCCGGCGGAGCTTGCAGTGAGCCGAGATCGCGCCACTGCACCCCAGCCTGGGCGGCAGAGCAAGACACCGTCTCAAAAAAAAAAAAAAAGTAACTGTCAAACTGTGATACTGACACAGCAGTCGATGGAAAAGTCCATGTAAGCTGTAGCCTAGAAACAGAAACTAGCACCTCTAAGTGTTTCGTACTTGATAAAAGTTGTTTCACAAATCAGTGAGGAAACGAAGGATTCATTATAGAATGCTGTGCAGCTGACCAACGGTTTGGAAAAAATAGATGTTAGATGCTTACACCAAAATAAATTCCAAAAGGTTTAAAGAAATAAATAAGTCTTTGAAAAATGAAACCAGCTGGGCACAGTAGTTCATGCCTGTAATCCCAGCACTTTGGGAGGCCAAGGTGGGCACATCACCTGAGGTCAGGAGTTTGAGACCAGCCTGGCCAACATGGCGAAACCCCGTCTCTACTAAAAAATACAAAAATTAGCTGAGTGTGGTGGTGCTCGCCTGTAGTCCCAGCTACTCAGGAGGCTGAGGCTGCAGAATTGCTTGAACCCGGGAGGCGGAGGTTGCAGGGAGCTGAGATCGCACCACTGCACTCCAGCCTGGGGACAGAGTGAGACTCTGACTAAAAAAAAAAAAAAAAAAAAAAAAAAGGCAAAGAAACCATAAAAAGCTAGAAGAAATATAGGTTGAGATCTTATCATGTCTCAGTATAGGAAATGACTCTCTAAGAACAAAATGAGCAATAAATCAATAGATTTTACTACATGAAAATAAAGAAATCCCTAAGCGCAACATAGCATCCTGGATTGGATCCTGCAACAGAGAAAAAGGACATTCGTGGAAAAACTGATGGAATCCAAACGAGATCCGTAACTTAGTTAATAGTGTTGTACCAATTTAATTTCTCAGTTTTGACTAACGTACCCTAGTTATGTAAACCGCTAACATCAGGGGAGGCCAGGTGAAGGGTGTGTGGGATCTCTCTGTACTGTCTACAACTTTTCCGTAAACCTAAAACTATGCTAAAATGGAAAGCTGAATGCTTGAGAAGCTAAGACAGATTGCAATACAAATAAAACCACAAAGCAAGTGACGAGCTGGAGAGACTGCGTGACCAAGCACTACCATCCTAAATCTACTAAGAGCTTTTACAAATCTTGGCCTGGTTTCTACCTTCACTATCTCCTCTCATCAGAATATCAGCTCCCTGGAGGGCGGAAGCTCTGTGTTTGTTCACTGTTGTGTCTCCAGCCCCGGGAAGAGTTCCCGGCACATACCAAGCACTCAGTAAATATTTGCTGCGTAAACCAATAGACCACAAAAACCCGACAGGAAAACGATGGAAAGATACTACCAGGCAATTCGTGTTACAAAAGAAGAAAAGTCAGTGGCCAAAAATGCTTTTTAAAATGTTTAGTTTCATCAACAAATTCAAGATATTTCCACCTGTCAAACTGACAAAGTATTTTTCAAATGACAGTGCACAATGTGGGAGGTTTGGTGAGATGGGCACCCTCACATGGTCCTGGCAGCAACCTTTCTCTAAAAGCATTTGTATCTTTGTCTTCACAGTCCCCTTCTAGGAGTGTGTCTTGTGAGAAATGCCAACTCTGAGGTGAGCATCTGGTAAGAGGCTTCCGTTGCATGCCTGCTCTTCCTCCAACCTGCCGCCCCACACTCACACTGCCTCCACCTGGGTCGCCTCCCACTCACTCTTGTCCTCGGTAACCCTCTTCCCCTCTTTCAAGACTCAGTTTACACACACGGAGAACATTTGGAAGCTCGTAAGAAGCCAAATGGAACTTATACCTATATAGACATTTCTTTACAACTTCCTTTACAATTACAATCATTTTAAATGTGGGCCTTGGCAGGGACAGCTAGTTGCCTATGCAGTCTCCATTCTCCCGTCCTTCCTTAACAGAAGTCCTATTATGTTGTGGGGACCAAATGGGACCTGCCATCAAGCTCTGATTCTCTTGCTAATGGGGTGGCCATCGAGAGGTGAGTGGAAGTCGTTGGGTGGTGATTCCTGGAAAACTCTTAAGGAGGTGCCCATTCAGCCAGGACCCTTTGGTCCGTTCCTCCAACTTTCTTCTTTCTGCCTGGAACATGGGGATAATAGCTAGAGCTTGAGCAACCTTCATGGACCATGAGACTCAGATGAAAGCCAGGTGCTAAGCATGGCACGGCACACAGGAGGGCAGGGCCTGGGACCCTGGTGACTGCCAGCTGCCCACCTCCCACTTCTGGACTGTTCTTCAGGAACAAATGCAAACCTTACCTTACTTAAGCCTCTGCTGATCTGGCAGCCAAAAGCAAGTCCTGACTCGTGTGTGCTCATACTAATAACCAATGAATTTATCCTGCAGATTTTAATCAAGAATTATACCTTTGATTATTAAATGGGGAAATGTACATTTTCTTTTGGCTTTGAGCCTTCACGGGAAGACTTTTCTGCTTGTCCCATGAGGTCCGTGCTCCTGGTGGCAGCTACATAAAACACAGAACGTGCCTGGGGACGTTAATAGCCATGCCTATCAAATACCCACACACTCTGCCCTGTGCCTCCCTGCACGTTTTCTAGGCAGAGCCAGAGTCCACCTCTCAGCTCCCCTCTTCACCTGCTACTTGCAAATTCTCACCGAGATGCTTCCAAACCCACCCCTAATAACATGTCCCCAAACCAAGCCCTAAAGGTGGGAATTGTTCCTTCCCAAGCACAGCTCCTGGAAGCTTCCTCCAATCCCTGAGAGGGTAGTTGGGAGCTATAAATAGAGCCCAGTCATTACTTAATCTCTGTGGTGTTTTAATAAGATTCGAAAAAAAAGAGAAGGGGCCAGACCTGATTAGTGCTCTGCTTGGGTTTCTGTTTTGCGTGCTGCACTGTGAGCAGGCGCCAGCCTTCTGGAGCGGCCCCCCGGAGCCCTGGAAAATGAATTCCTGTCTTGGAGGGTCATCCAGGGACATGGCCTGTTGTGTTCCTCTGGAGTCATCTTTGAGACAAGGATGCAGATCTTTGCCCCTGTGGTGTGCCTTATGTCCCCACGCAGTGGGCTCCCACTTTCCATTTGTCCCACTTGCCCTGGTTCTCAGTTCTCTTCCTGGTCATCAGTGTTTTTGTTCAGTCTTCAGCACCTGGTAGGCACCTGTTCTGGGCCAGGGCAAGGGTCAGGAGGCCCCTGGTCCCTCACTGCCAGTGTCCCCATCTCCTTCACAGCCTCTCAGAGCATCAGGAGTGGCTGTCAGTGCACCCACTTGTCCGTCTGTCCTAAGATGGTGGGCAGCCCTGGGGTGGGGGCGTGAGGGGCATTTGTACTTGCTTCCCAGCTCCCAGCACAATGTCTTCACCCAGAGCAGCAGCTGAATACAGCGGAGCTGAATGGAAAGGAAGTGACTGTGCTCCTCCCAGGGCACCCCATCCATGCCTCTGCTCACCTTCTGTCCACTCCACCCTGCTCTAATCCATCCTTCCCAAACCCACCAGCTTCCCATTCCCAAAGCCTAACAGCCAGCCCCTCAACCTGGGCCTCCTGTCTTCAAGGTTGGGCTCTGCCCAGCCCTCCCAACCTCATCTCCCAGAACCCACCTCCAGAAGCTTTGGTTCATGCCCTGCAGCCTCCTCACTGGCTCATAGGCCTTTGTGTTTCAGAACCACAGAGCTAGACGGGATCTTGAAAATCACTGGGGAAACTGAGGCCTGGAGAGGGGAACTGGCCTGCCCAGGGCCACACAGTAACTTATTATTATCAGAGTGGAGATGAGGCCACAGGTCTCCTAGGTTCTGGTTTCCTGTCCCAGGACGCCTGTGTTCTCTCCCTGTAGCCCCGCTCTCTGACCAAGAAACGGTGAGAGCGAGGCCCAACACCCAGCTTTGCAGAACAACTTGCCTCTGGGTTGAGAGCGGGTGGGGTAGGGCTGGGGCGTGGGGGGTGCGGCTCTAAGCAGCAGGATCAGTTTTCACCACGTGAAAAGCAACCCAAGAGCAGGAAACACTCTGGAACATTTGACTGTGGCACGTGTTTCTGATCTGGAGCCCCGCAGCCCCTGAGTAAGGGCAGGCAGTGGTGAAGGAGGCAGCACCGATACCTCCTTCCACCATGTGGAGAAGCCGTTCTGAATCATAAGACCCAAGAAACCATGAATCACAGTTACCAGATCCTAGAAATAACAGATCTTACAAATGAGGTTTCTTGAAGTTCCTCTTTCCTCGTCTTTAGGATGTTCACTCTCCTAGTTCTCCTCCTGCCTCTCTGCTTGCCCCTGCTCTGTTTGCTGTGCAAAGCCCACAGTGCGGCCGTGAGCCAAGGCCCGTCCTAGGCCTCTGCACCTGCTTGCTGGGCACATTCTCCCTGGACCATTCCAGTTCCTCCTGGGGATCAGACCCCAATGCCACTGATGACCTTAAACCCCACGTGTGCATTCAGCAAACTCTGCGCACCCACTCGGTGCCAGGTGCTGTCCTAGGCTCCAGGATACAGCAGGGAACGGAGGTTAAAGAGCCAGGCTTCACAGGGCATATTACATTCCAGTGGATGTGGGAGGAAAAGAAACACGTAGATATGATCATGTTGGGTAGTAAGAAAGGCTATGAGGAGAAGTGACTCAAGAGAAGACAACAGAGAGGCAGAGCCTGGGAGGTCTCAGGAGAGGCGACACCCAGGAGAGATGTAAATGGAGTGAGGGAAGGAGCTGCATGCTTTCTGCAGGGAGGGCCACCCAGAGAGGAGGCAATGACACCCAGACAGGAAGGACAACGAGGCGGGTGGGGCTGGAGCCAGGGCAGGGAAAGGGAGAGTTGGGGCGGAGGTCAGAGTCTGATGTGTGTCAGCAAGTGCCTGTAAGCTGCGGTGCAGGCTACGACTTTGTTGCCATGTGCTGGGTTGAGAGCAGGTTTTGAAAAGGATGCCTCTGGCTGCAGTGCTGAGAACAGAGGACAGGAAGCAGAGAGGAAGCGGAGGCCAGGCCAGACACTGGAGTGGGCGGCAATGGCGGGAGTGGCAGGGGAGGTGGAAGGGCCATGGCTTGGGATTTGGTTTTCAAGGTAGAGCTCACAGAATTTGCTGAGGAACTGGCTGCAGGGTATGAGAGAATGAGAGATGTCAGACCAAGATGGGCAGGGCGAGAAAAGGGCAGATTTATGGAGAAATCAAGAGTTGAGCTTGGGCCTGTTAATTTTGAGATACCTCTAGACACTTTATGTGAGAATCTGGAACTCAGGTGAGAGTTTTCCAGGCTGGAGACTAAATTCGGAAGTGCCAGAGTCCAGAAGGTGTTCAAAGCCCTGGTATTGGATGAAGTCTTGCCAGCCAAGTAAGCAAACACAGAACAGACCCTGCCTGGATCTCTTTCTGGCTCCAGACCCTATAGGTGACAGCCACGCGATAGGAACAGCATGGCAAATATTTGATGATCCTTAGTTCATCACACACTCTAAAGGGTAAAAGAGAAGCTGAAGATCTTCCTGGAGAAATGAAGGGAGTGGTAGACTGATTGCATCGATGGCCTCGGTTTGTAGACTCCATTTCCCTTGTAACATTGTGGTCCCTTCCCACCCTGAGTCTGGGCTTGGCCACCTGACTTGCTTTGGCCAAGAGGGTATTAGTGGACTTGCTGAAAGCAGAGGCTTGAGAAACATTTGCATGTTTTGATTTCCTCTCTTGCTCCTCTACCTTTGTTATTAAAAAAAATGCCTGGGCTAGCTCTCTCCTGGAATCCTGTCGCCACCATGAAACAAATCTAGGCTGGCCTGCTGGAGTACAAAGATCACAGAGTATAGCTGAATCATCTCAGCCAGACTCCCCTAGACCAACTGTTCCCCAGTTGAGCCACCAGCTGCCTGCAGACATGTGAGTGAGCTCAGTCCAAACCAGCAGAACTTTCCAGCTGACCTATAGACTTGTGGCTGTTGTTTTAAGCTGATAAATGTTGGGTTGGTTTGTTATGCAGCAGTAACTAGCTGATACAGGGAACGAGAGTTTCTTTAGACAGTGGGTGGGAGCCTGTGTATGGGCATCTATCCCCACGGGGGAGGAAAGGAATGCTTCTCCACAACCTTAAGCCAAGAGAACTATTCAGAGACCTTGGCTTGAGTCTCTTAGAATTTGAGGAATGTAGGGGCTGGTGCCTGACTCATGTCCAAAGGCCCTGGGAAAGGCCAGCACTTCCAATAGGGATATGTATGCTTCCCATGGGCCAGACATGACCCAACAGGGTCACCCAGAGGGGTGAGGTGACCCCAGCAGAGGAGTCAACCAGAGCCCTGGTCTAGGGGATGTTGTAAGTAGCCAGATGGAATAAATTGCCTGAGTCCAGGGGACAGCAGGTGAGAGATGCGAGAGAGAAGAGGGGCTCCAGAGAACCCATAGAAGTAGTCCTGGAGAGACACAACGAGGGAGCACCTGCTCCAGCTCACCCCTCTCCCAGTCTGGGCAGCCCTTCCTAGCCCACTCCCTCACCTCTCACCAGGGAGCAGGCAGAGCAGGAAAGAGAAACAAACTCACCACGACCCTCTTCCCACTGCAGCTTTCCCAGTCTGAGTCAGATCCAAAAGGCTAAGACAGGCTTAGTTTAAACTGCAGGAGTTTGGAGTTTTAATGTTAGGCCTAGACTTCTTAGATCTGAAATTGACCAGGAAGTGAGAGGTACTAGAAGGTGTTCCCTGAGCGGGCTTAGTGGGGTAGCCTGTGGAGCCCAGCACACCATTCCTGGGTGGGGCTTCCCAGGCTCCATCCCAATCCCTGCTCTCTCACCACCTGTCCTGCAAGAGCCCCTCTGCCACTAGGGTAGCACCTAACACCTCTCCCTGGCGATTTCCAAACCTCCGTCTCCAGCTTAGACTCCCCCATGAGATTCTCATCCACTGGCCAACCATCAGTTGACACCTACCCCAGGATGCCTGCACCTGCTCCAGACCATCCATCGCTTGGTGACCACACCACCATCCACTTGGATGCGTGGGCCAGAAATCTTCATGCTGGGTGATCAGCACACCTCACCTCCTACTCACCCACCTCCTGCTAAGGATCCCTCCTGAGCAGCCCTGCCATCTGCCCCCTTCCCCATCCCCAGGGCCACCACTTGGCCCTGTCCCTGGCTCTGCCTTCCCCTCCTACCTCCCCTGCAACTCTGATCCCTGGTCAGATTGAACCTTCTGAATTGGATCATGCCGCTTCTCTGTATAAAACTCATTTTCTGTGGCCTTTAGGATGCAACTTAGCTTTTGGCCTGGTTCACGGTGCACTTTGAGGCCGGTCCCCACCTGAATTCTCCAGCAGGGGTTTCTGCCTGCCTCTCACCCCTTCTGCTGTGTCACACTGATGGTGCTATGCCTTCTCCCCGCAGACGGTTCCCTGCAGCTCAGGACCTTCGCACAGCTATCGCCCCCAGGCCTGCCCTCCCTGCCTCCCCATCTTCCCCTCCCTTAGAAGGGCAGTGGCTTCCTGCTCTCACCGGCAGCCCCAGCTTCCCCATTGCAGCCCCAGGCCCCCATGTTGTCCCTGTCTGCTCGTGGGTCTGACCACTCCTCCAGGGCAAGGGCTGGCTCTGAGTCCCCTGGTCCAGGGCCTGGCACAGAACTGGCACTGGTGAGGGAGCGAATGCACGAAGGACAGGAGCAGGGGTGACCTGCAGGGGACCCGGGGAAAGGGAGTGGAAGGTGGCTGTGCCGCTGGGTCTGCAGTGCTTCCCTGGAGAGGGAGCCTAGGTCTGAGAAGCAAGGTTAGCTGCACTGCTGTGGCTAGGATGTGGCACTGCCATTGCTAGGGGGTGGCACCACAGGGCAAAGGGCATTGTCCTTGGAGTCAGACAGGACTAGGTTGAATCCTGTCTCCACTACCTACCTACCGGTGACTCTGGAAAAGTCACGGCACCTTTTTGAGCCCCATTTCCTCATCTGTAAAAAGAGGACCAATAAACAAAGGGAGGGGCCAATAACAGCCAGCCTCCCACCCTACAGGCTGGGCATCAGCAAATGCTCACAGATGTCTGCTCTGCGCCCATCCACAGGCAGAGAGGGGCAGACCCCGTCCAGGCTGCAAGGTGCTTCTAGCCTGGTGGGGCAGACGATGCAGCATGAGCCCAGCGGGCAGCCCAGAGCTCAACCCACCAGGGTGATCATGGACTCCGTGATCACCCCCATCTCCACACCCCGTCCTGGCCTCTGGGGGACCTGGCAGGGCAGGCTCGGGCCTGGCGTTCCCAAGCGGGGTGTGGGTGGCAATAGTTACCGGATGAGGTCCAACAGGGCATCGGCTGAGCTCATGATGGGCTTCCCACTCTGCTCCGTGGTCTCCTTCTGGGCCGCGCTGCCTGGGTGGATGATGGAGACCATGAAGATGCCCACGATGACAGCCATGAAGGTGGTCCACAGGTAGTACGCCACGGTGAGGACGCCCAGGCGGCTAGAGGTCTTGGCATCCAGGGAGGCAAGTCCGGACATCAAGCTGGGAGGGCGAGGGGGTCAGGGGCTGTGGTGGGGAGGCCAGGGCCTGGCTGGCACTCAGCGCTCACTCAGCCCCTCCTGGCCATGTCCAGCTGCCTCACAGTGCTCCAGGGAACCCCATTCTTCCAACAATCCAGTCCTGTGCTCCTTCCAGCCTCTCTTTCTGCTCTGCCCTCTCCCCCACGCCCCGGGGCGCAGGCCACACACATCTGTGCCTTGAGACCTCTGCACTGCTAGGCAGAGAGCCCAGGCCAGGGTGGCTGTGGGATGGTGGGGACACTGTTGGGGGAGTGAGAGATTAATTAAGGAAATGCGTGTGCTTTACTTTGTTGCCTCAAGTTTCCCATGCTTGGTGTCCTCTCAGAAGCTTCCTTCACTCTCCTGACCCCTGCCCAGCCAGGCAGGACCAAGCTTGGTCTACCTCTGAGATCTACCTGCCTCTCCCCCAGAGTGAGGAGCCCATTCTAGGACCCCCACAGCCCCTGGCTGCTCCATCAGGACGCTGCCTGTCTGTTTGTGAGAGGAGGGATGAGTCTGACTTCCCTGTGGGTCCCGAGAGGACGGCACCGCAGGCGGTTCCTGCGGGCTCCTGGACGAGCTAATGAGGAGTGAGTGAGAGCGCTGGGCTGGGGGCTGGTGACCCAGGTCCTAGTCCCAGCTCTGCCAACTGGCTGTGTGGCCTCAGGCAAGCAAGTCACTTCCCCATCTTTGGGCCTCAGGATCTCCATCTGTAAAATGGGGACATCTTGGGTTTGTGCCTGGGCCCAGGCTCCTTGTCACAGGGGGCTGTGTTGAGAGGGCTGTGGGTCTCTCTCCTCTCGGCTCCTCCCCACCCCTAGCCACCCTGGCCTGGGCTTTCTGCCTACCAGTGCAGGTCAGCCCCAGAGTACTGGCGTCCTGGAGCCCTGGAGCCCTGGAGCCCTAGAGCAACGCTTCTTGCAGCCATTGTGGGGGGTGTGGGACGGTGGGGGGTGTGGGGTGAAGTGAGATTAATTAAGGAAATGCTTGTGCTTTGCTTTGTTGACAAAAGGATTTTTCCCCAAAGCCCTTTCATTCTTTCAGATAAAGAAGTATTTGTCTGGTTTTAATCATGTAAACAAGAGCAGATAATCCCCAGCCACGCTCCTCTTATCATTAGATTCCATGCAGCAGCATCCAGCCCCAGGCTGAGCGTGAACACCGGCCCCCTCCCCCAGCGGGAGCCACCGCCTGTGAGGGCCCTGCCCTGCCTGCTCGCTGGCGCAATGGCTTACTCTTCTGGTAAGACACACTTTGAGCATCCCCTCTTGCAGGAAGCCGTCTCTGACCACCAGGCTGAGTGAAGCCTCCTTCTCTGGCTCCACAGTCCCTGTGCCTCCCACTGTCCCTGCCCCCACCTCACTGGACTGCGGACTCTTTACTGGAAGCACCTCCAGGGTTGGGCCAGGTTCTGATTGAATGCTGGGTCCGCAGTTTGGTAGCAGACTGCTGAGTGAAGGAGTGAGTGAATGAATGAATGAGTGTTTACAATCTCTGCTCATCCTCATCTGCCAGGATGCCATATGTTAGTGATGGGCTTAGGGTGGGTCTTAGACATAAATCCTGAAGGGCTCATAATGGGATTGTGCAGCCAGAGGAAATGGGGGGCTGCCCTGCAATCATCATCAAAGAGAGATTATCCCACGCAGGGCCGGTGCGTCAACCCAGGGCCAAACAGTCCTCCCACCATGACAGAACCCCCCGCAGTGGGGTCCAGCCGCCTCAGGCCACAGGGAAGCCATGTACCCGAGAGCAGGCCCTGCCTGAGGTCACACAGGACAGCAGTGCCCGGCTGGGCCAGAACTCAGGGCCAGACCCAGGCCTGTCCTCCTTCATTCACGTGCATTCAAACCTTTCGCACATGCCCACTCCGTGCCATGCCCTGTGCCCACAGGAAGAAATCAGAACCTGTCCCTGACCTCAAGGAGTTCCTAATCTGCCAGGGAATGGGGAGGGAGAAGGAAAGGACACTGGGCCACAAGTGCACTCAAATGGCCCCTGGACTATGTGGGAGCATCAGAACCGCAAGGGAAGCGGGGACAAGGAAATGCTGTCTTTGTTCAGAGAAGGGGGAATCACTTCGAGCTAGGAAAGTCAGGAAGGGCTCCCTGGAGGAGGTGGCATTTGACCTGGCTCTTGGAAATGGGAGAGGATTTGGAGATGGGGCAGACATGCGCAGCAGTGAGACAGTGGAAGGCAGAAGGGAGGCTGGAAAGTGTGAGACACCGTGCTGTTCGATGTGGCCCGAGCTCAGGTAATATCTGAGGGTTAGTGACAGATTGGTGATAGAAGGGATAGAGAAGATAGGCTGAGCTCAGGAGTAGGGTGGCCTTGTGGCACTTCAGCACAACTCAGGCAGCAGAATTTGCTGGATGTCTAGAAGGGAGAACGAAAAATTCCTTCCATTTGAGAAGATCAAAGTACACATGGTGTACTGGGAGGGTCACTGAAGTAGTACTTGTAAGATCAAAAACCTGACCTAAGAACTCACCAATGCAGATTAGATAGGAAGGGACGGTATAGCAGCCATCCGGAGTGATCGTGTCCCTGGAAGGGTGTTCCTAAATCAATGCTAAGTGGAAAAGCAAGTTACCAGATTGTTTGCATCTCTGCAGTGAGCCCTGGAACCTCCTGGGATGGTGGACTCCCTCCAGATTTGCAGTCTAGGCACATAGATGTGTCTGAGGGATTGTGTGGAGTGGGGTGCAGGTGAGGACTGGATTTCAGGAAAGGATAAAGGCCCCTCAGAAGGCCCCCCACCGGGGACGAAGAGGCCTAACACGGGGGTGGCGCCAACTCAGGGACAGATTGAGATGTGGGAGGGAGTGTAGGTTTTAGACAGAGCAAGAGGGATCCCTGACCCCACCCTGGGGCCCCCATCAGCTCTGGACAGGAGAGCACCCATGGACGAAATGGAGAGAATCCTGGGACCCAAGTCGTTCTGTGCTGGAGCCTCCCTCCCTTCCCACAAATGGCGGAAGGGAGAGGTGAGCAGCCGCGGGAACTGCTGGTGACAGCTGGCAGCACAGGCCAGCCTCCCCCGGAGTGCCAGGGCCACCGCAGGTGAGGGCGGAGGCCAAGAAGAATGGGAGCTGGGCATGCAGAGGTCGTGGCTTCCACTCAGAGCTCACAGGCACAGAAAGGAGGTGTAAGGCCCTGCCCTTTGGCTTTTTGAGGGATTCCTCCCTGCTGAGGCTCCTCAAGGTCCCAGGCTTCAAGGTCAAGCTGTTAAAGGTGACTTTTCTGAGAACTTGCAGCTGGTGCCCAGTGGTGGTGGGAGACCAGGTCGCGTGGACGGGCACGGAAACAAGCAAACTCTATAGGAAATGTAATTATTATCTTTGGGTGTTATAAGTAATTTTTGTTTTGTTTCGAATAGTCCTTCACATTCTCTATTCTTTCTAGATTGAGCCCGTCTTCTTGTGTGATGGAGATGACACCTCCTGGAGGACCCAGCAGCCTCAGAAGCCATCATCTCTCTGGGACTTTACTGTTCCCCAGACACCTGAACACCCAGCCCAGTGGATCCTTAACCTTCTGAGTGAAGCACTGTGGAGTTCCACTGCGAGCCACATTTGTAATTTAGAATTTTCTAGTGGTCACATTAAAAAGTAAAAAGAAACAGGTGAAATTAGTTTTTTGGTGAAATTAAGTTTAATACTTTATTTAACCTAGTTTATCCCAAATATTATCATTTCAATATGTCATCAATATAAAAATTTTTAGGCCAGGCACGGTGGCTCATGCCTATAATCCCAGCACTTTGGGAGGCTGAGACAGGTGGATCACCTGAGGTCAGGAGTTCGAGACCAGCCTGACCAACACGGTGAAGCCCCATCTCTACTAAAAATACAAAATTAGCCAGGTGTGGTGGCGCATGCCTGTAATCCTAGCTTCTTGGGAGGCTGAGGCAGGAGAATCGCTTGAACCTGGGAGGCAGAGGTTGCAGTGAGCTGAGGCCACGCCATTGCACTCCATCCTGAGCAACAAGAGTGAAACTCCGTTTCAAAAAAAAATTTATATTGCTTCAGGTTTTAAATTTTAAATTAAATTAAATAAAAGTTCAGTTCCTCAGTTGCACTGCCTGCTTTTGGGTCTCAGAGGCCTCCTCTGACTCGTGGCTGTTGTATTGGACAGCCCAATACAATAGTTCTGAGTTACAGATGGGGAAAATGGAGCACAGGGAGATGGAGGCAACTGGCCAGGCCCTCCAGTTGGTGAACCATAATGTCAAGATTGGAACAGGGATTTCTGATTCAGAACCTTGTGGGGTTCCCACTCCCACAGTGCCTGTCTGTGGCACAAACCTGGTTTAACTCTGGTGGTGGGGGAAAAGATCTGGTTTGGGCTATGATTTTATTTTTTATTAATTCTTTGAAACAGGGTTTCACTCTGTTGCCCAGGCTGGGGCTCAGTGGCACGATCATGGCTCACTGCAGCCTTGACCTCCTAGGCTCAAATGATTCTCTCACATCAGCCTCCCAAGTAGCTGGGACTACAGGCACTCGACACCATGCCTGGCTAATTTTTAAAAATTTTTAGTAGAGATGGGGGTATCTTGATGATGCCCAATCTGGTCTGGAACTCCTGAGCCCAAATGATCCTCCTGTCTTCACCTCCCAAAGTGCTGGGATTACAGGTGTGAGCCACCCAGCCCAGCTGACTATGATTTTAATGTGATCCAGCCCATGTAAAGCCATTTTAGTTCAATCTCGGAGTTCACAGCCTGCCCTTGGTAATGAGCCTCAGATTTGTGGTGGTGAGCTTCCCATTGTTGGAGGCATCCAGGTGGATCCTGGATGGCCACCTGTTGAGATGCTAGATGGAGGCTTCCAGATAGAGTGGGAGGTTCCATGAGGATGACTTCAAACATTCCTTCTGGCTCTGTGATTTATGGTGAGGGGAGAATAGGCAACCACCTCTCTCCCACACCACGCTTGGCTGGGTGCTCCTGGGAGCACCTGCGGTGTTTGAGGGCCCCAGGGAAGAGCCTCTGGGAGTCTGGAGGCTGGAACTCCCTCCTAAGCCATCTGGCCACCACTCAGAGCCCAGGGATTGTGGATCAAGAGATTGCAGTGATTAGAGACATTAACCCGCAGAGGCAGTGGGAAGGCCCAGCCTGTCTCAATCTGGTAATTGCTCCACTTGCAGGGGTGGGGGAAGGGAGGCAAAGACTGCCAGGCTCCCGGTGGAAGGAGAAAAAGGCTGCTGACTGACCCTCCCCTGGTTCTCGCACCAACCCCTGAGGTGGGACTCCTGACCCCATCTCACACTGGGAGGTGCAGGGCAGCTCTGCCATTTGCCAAGCGCTGGTTACAAAGGTGAGGGATTAGAAACCACGCCCCCACGAAGTCGAAGTTGTAGTCGCACCTCCCTACAGAGAGAGCCAAGAGAGCCTGCAGGCTGCCCAGCTGCCGGATGCCCCTCCCCCAGTTTGGGGTGACTCCCCATTGCCCTCCGCAACCATCCCAGCTCCTTCCCTGCCCTGCGTCCCCTGGGGCTGGGCCGCTCTCCTCCTCGTCCACTCTGCTCCTGGAAGTACCTTTGCACTGGATGTTCCTCCCGCCTGGAACTCTCCATCCACCATCCCTTCCCCAACCCTGGCCCAATGTCCCCAACCCTGGGTCAGCTTAGACATCACTGCCTCTGGGAAGCCTTCCCTGACTGCAGCCATCTCACCCACTTCCCCAGGGCACCCTGTGCTTCCCAGTTTGTTACGGAGCACCCTGCTAGTGGGCTCAACCCGAATCCCCAGGGCCTGACCCAGCACCTGGCACAGGACGGGCTGGCACGGAGTGCCGGGAGCCCAGTCCCCGCCTTCTTCTCCTTTCCTGTCCTGTGGATGCTGCTCAGCTCTGAAGTCTCCACTCAGGCACCACCGCCCTCTGAAGGCTGCCCTGGCCCTAGGCAAGGCGAGGAAGCTCCCGTAAGCATCCCTCACTCACTGCGAGCCCTTGGGCATGTGACTGGGCCTGGGTGTGCCTCAGTTTCCACTGAGGATGAGTGCGGATGATGCCGGTTTGCTGTGAGGCCAAATCTTGGGTTGGAGTGGTACATGGCATGTGATAAGTACGCACTGCATTTCAATTGTTATAATTTCCTCTGTCTTCACTGTCTGTCTGTGACCACCTGTCCCAGCAGACTGGAACTCCTCCAAGGCAAGGCTAAGTCTAGTTTGGCTCTAGGTCCTTAAAACCCAAGGTCTGGCACAGGCCTGGGTGCAGGGTTGCTGATGTGTGTGATGCTGAACCAGGGTGACATTCTAGATCAGACGTGAAAAGGACGACTTGTGTGCCCAGGTGACTGAGCAGCCATTGAAGGTTTCCTGAGAACAGATCACCAGTACCAGCCTTGGTCCCCGGATGGGCTTAGGGGAATGCCCACGGTGTTGTGTGTCTGTGTGACATCGAGACAGTTGGCACCAGAAATCTGGGAAGAGATGGGGGCTTGGTGAAGGGACAAGGAGCTGAATGTCCTGGGCAGTAGAGAGGGTGTCTAGAGATCAGCTTCAGGACTCTGCTTTCGGCCCTCTCCTTTCTGGTCATTTTAATCAATGGCTTGGCCAAGGCCCCCGACAGCATGTGGAGCAGATTTGTAGAGGACAGGAAGCTGGGAGGAATAGCTAATGTGCTGGATGAGGGAGTTGGGAATCCAAGCAGACCCCAGCAGTCAATTCTGACACAATGAGCCTGAACACAGACATGTGTTGGGCCGCACTTGGCTTCCACAGCTTGGAGTGCACAAACACCGGGGTGGGAGGGGGAGGCTGAGCCGTGGCTGCACACGTGGGGAGGGGACTTTGGGCTTTGTTTGCTGCCAGCTGGTGAGTCACCTGGGACGCGGGGCTGCCAAAGGGCTGGTGGGCCCCCTGCCTGTGGCTTCAGAAGCCCGGGGGCTGGTGGAGGCTGCTGCAGACCTGCTTTGACTCATTGAGAAAGGGACGGGGCGGGGTGTGTGTGTCCTGTAGAGGGCAGCTGGGTAGGCAGCAGGTGATAGAGGCACGTGCCTGGTTGCGGGGAGCAGCTGGGGGGCTGGGGGGCAGGTGCTGTGTGGTCCGGAGCGGAGCAGACCTGGGAATGCTGGGGATGATGGGAAAAGCCCTAGGGCTCTCAGCTCAGCACCAGGAATAACTTTCTGGCAGAGCTGTCCTGCTCTGGCAGGAACTACCTTGAGAAGTGGTGACCTCCCAGTCACTGGAGGTGTGCAAGCAACTTGCTAAAGTCACACAATAAGTGGGTTCAAGCCCTAGTCTGCTGGCATGACAGCATCCAGTCACAACCTCCTGGCAGTGGGAGGACCTGAGGGACAGTGAGGAGCCCCAAGCCCTGCAGCCAAGTCCTTGGGCTCTGGCCTTGGCTGACCTAGCCACAGAGGCTCTCCCCAGCTGGCCCTGGGATGCAGCTGCAGGAAGTCTACCAGACAGGCCGCAGGAAGGAGGCTTCGGGGGTCTGCGGGCAAGAGGGGTCCCTTCAGTCCATCTGAGCATCATGGCTTACTCTTCTTTTCCCCTGAGCAGAAGGCAGGCCCAACAGCTGACAGCCAGTGCCATGCCCATTAGCGCCAGCTCCAAGTCATGCTTCCCAGACGGCTCTGCCAAAGCCCCACACTCAAGCCGACTCCTCCTGAGGCCTAAGGCAGCATGCCCAGACTCCCACTCAGCTAAAGTCTGGGCCATCTCGTCTCAGCACACCCTCCCAAGGGCAGAAATTCCTCCACCACCTCTGCTTGCATATCTCAGAGGACAGAGCACTCACTACCTTCTGAGTCAGCCCCTCCACTAAGAGCTCGTGATGCTTATTAGGAAGTCCTTCCTGGTGTCACAATGAAATCCGCCTCCGGGGAAGAGCATTGGGCCACACTGGGCCCAGCCAGCCCTCTGGAGCCACATGGACCAAACCTCTTGGCCTCCACCTTGATTTCCATGGAGGGAAGGTGGGAGAGAGTGTGGGGCTCAGAGTGTGGGCGGTGGGTGCTGCTACCCTGGCATGCCCTGCTGCCCTCTGAAGGTCCCTCCTTCCCAGGCCTGGGTGCCAAGAGGGCGCTCCACTGGGACCTGTGAGAATGATAAGCTTGAACTGGATCAAAAGCAGAAGCTGGAGGAGCCACAGCTGCAGCCCTCAGAGCTCACTGTCAGACTGCCGGCCATTCTCAACCATTCTCCACCAAGAAGGCTGCATTCCCTAAGGCAGTCAGGGCCAGGTCCAGTTTCCAACTCCACGTGAACTGAATCCCCCACCCCTTCCTTGCCCATGTGGCAAAGATCATGAGGAGTCAGGGGAACTCAGGTCTCCTGCCTCCCCTCCCTGCACCAGCAGGGCCCCTGGAGTCTGCCCCGCACAGGGCTCAGGCGGGGCCATCCTGTGGGCCTCTCTCCAGTGCAGCGGTTCTCCACAGAGAAGGGCGGCAGCACAGTTTTCAAAACCTCACCCACCTTCCCAGGCTCTGAGATATGTGCCCACCCTGCCCGGTGTTGAACATTTGCACTGGGTGCTGTGGGGCTCAGAAGGGAATGAGGTGGGTCTGTGTTCTTCCTGGTGCTCTGGCCAGCGGGTGGGGAGACCAGCAGCAGAGCAACACCAACCCGGGGGTGGGGGTAGCTGTGACTGAGCGCCAGAGCAGGGCCAGCCCTCCGGGCATCGGGCTGGGCCTCCCAGAGGAGGGCACAGCTGGATGGAGCCTCGAAGGCCAAGTAGGAATTCTCTAACTGGAAGGGAGCGAGAGCATGGAAGTCTGTGGTGCAGGATAAAGCCTGGGAGCTTTTCGGAGTCACCAGGCTGGAGGTCTGACCCCACCCGCAGCCCACAGCGGGCCACGTTTCCCCTCTTGATGAGTAAGGCAAATCATCTGACTGGGCAGAAGGGCCAAAGGCAGGTCCCAGGGCTCACACCAGAAGGTTCAGTGGAGCTCGCCAAACTGTGGCTACCCCCTGACTCGGAGGGCAGCATCCGAAGCACAGGCTGTACCGGTTTGGCCCTCTGGCCACCCGCTCCTCTGCCTCCTCCTGCTCACGGCCTGTCCTGGGGAGTCTGGGCAGCCCCCTGCACACTGGCTCCCAAACCAGACTTTGACGGCTGCTTGGCCCAGGCCCATTTCCAATAAGTTAGAATGTGGGTGTTTGGGAATTTTCTGCCACACTAGAGTTCCTCAGGAAGGGGAGAAGGGAGTGTTGAGTTTCTCTGGCCAAACATGATTTCCTGATTCTAAGAAAAATCAGTTTAAAGTCCTTACAAGAAATAGGAAGGAAAACAATACATACACAACACACACACACACACACACACACACACACACACACACACAACACAGCTTCACAGACAAACCCACACCCACGCTTGGCTGTCTTTGCTATGTTGTGGAGCTCACAGAACACTCTATCATGCACAGCCCTAGTGAATCACAAACACATGGATTCAGTTTCCCCTGAAGGACGCCTGGTTTAAGAAACTGAAGAATGAGGGGAGAGAAGGGTTTGGCAAAAAGCAAGTGGAGAATTGGAGGCTCTAGCTGGATCCAGATGCTGGTCTGACTTACCCCTAATTCCTTGTGTCAAGCTTGTCTGGGGATGTGTGAAAACAAGGCTCAGTTGACCTCCCAAGGTGAGGTGCAAAGTCTAGCCTCAGTGGAATGGGGCCATAATGGGCCACACACACAAACACACATGGGCACACAAACACACACACAGAGCACCTGCCGGGACCTGCTTTGTAAATTAGCAGACAGCATTGTGCCTATTTTATGGCTGAGGCTAAGAGGGTGAACTCGAGGTGAGACCACAGTCCCGAGGCAGGGCAGCTCCCTCAAGAGTCTAGCAGCCTCCCAAGTGCCTTGTGACAGGCAAAAGACTTTGCAAACTCTGTGCCTCCCGAGTGGGTGAGTAAAACAGGATCACCAAGGTGAAGGTGCAGCGTGGAAATTCTTATGACATCACATTGGGGGAAAACCAAAGCAAGCAGGCTACAGATTTATTTTTGTGGAAGATACTTTTTGGGTTATACTGTAAGTTGAAAGCAAAAAGGATTGGGGTAGTGACAAGTGGCCTGCTCGGGGAAGAATGGGAAAGTAAGGCTCCCAGGCCCTGAAGGCTTGACTTTTCTAAATAAAGATATAATTGGCATGGCGTTAGTGAACTGTGGCAGCACACGGAAGACGGCTGAGGAGGGCAAAACCATGGGAGGGGGGCCCCAATGCAGGTCCCGTCCAGATGATTCGTTCCTATACTAATGTAATGTGAGGCAGAATTTTCTAATTTTTGTCCAAGGCGTCTCTGTTCCTGGGTGGACAGAGCAAGTTCCCCTGCAGGCAATTTTATTTTGCAAAGAATCTTTTGAGCAGCAAATGTCGGATGAGAAGGCAGCACTGTCAGGGGAAGGGAGGAGCTGTTGTGGCTTGATGAATGCCTCCTCCTTGAGAACTTGAGATCTGCAGAGTTATGGAAAACTGTGCCCATTTGCACCAGAGGATCAGGGCCTTCTGAGAGGAAAAAGACTAAGACCTGAGCCCCAGTTCCCTGTGATTTGAAGTTAGCACCAGGGTACGCTAGAGTCCCCCAGCCGAGATGGCCTGGCATTCAAGGCCTCCAAAATGAACCCAGTAGGAGGGAAAAGGGAATTGGGGCTCAACTCCCGGGGAGCTGATCTCAGGACATGACTGAGGCTGCTTTAGGAACAATTATTGAGCACTTCGGGGGGACCTAGGGGTCTGGAGGCATCCCTGTGGCCTGAGCAGCGTTGTGCACCTGCAAGGGGCAGTGTGCAGACTTCCACCAGAGCGTGCGGGACCTGCGTTCCACAGGGCCACCCCGTGGAGGGAACCAGAGCAGCAGGGCTGGTGGCAGGACCCCATGTTCCAGCTCTGTTTACACCAGAAGCTTCCACTGAATGAAATAAGCTGACTGTGGCCACGGGGTGGAGGCCTCCAGAGGGACACACTGGGCTTCCTGCTAGTACAGGGGAGTAGGACCATATTCAGTGTATTCAGTTTCAAGTCAGTAAAGCAAAAACAAAGTGTAATTAATTTTGCCTTTGAAAATCTCTTAAGTTGCCCATAGAGTCCAGGAGGTATAGTTTTGTGTAAGTTCATTCAAGACAGTTTCCCTTCCAGCCTTGGAGTGGGTTGCTGTTTCTTTAAGCAAACACCAGATGAGAGCATCAGCATACACTCAGAGGCCGTGATCTAAAACACCCACCCCTCTGCAGGCCCTAGAAACTCTCTGGCTTCAGGGAGGTGCTCACTGTTCAGGAGGTGCCTGGGCACAGCGGCTGGTGGAGGCAATTCAGGCCCTCCTCTCTCGTGGCCCTCACCTGGGGAAGAGCCCTTGGAAGGAGGAGTCTCCTGTCTCATTTAAATGATTTTCTCCCTTTTTCAGAGCACATGTAATTGAATTCACTTAAGTTAAATGCACATATGATGGGACTCCACTATAAGGCGGGGGTGGTGGGAGGGCTGAAATAAACTGAAAACCGCAAACCTGGAGTTACGCCGGGTTATACAGTTAAATAACTAAATGTACCCACCAGCAAGCAGATTTCACCAGTGGGTTCCCTGCATGGTAAGCCCACAGAGAGGCTCTGGCCAGAGCCTGCATATGACTGTCCTTGCTGGCAAGTGTCTTGATCTCTGGGAATGAATAAATCAGTATGTGGCATATTTGATTGCCCCTTGCTAGCATCGGGGGACAGGCCCAACCAGCTCTGGGGCCCAGACAGTTGGGCTTCTGATCCCATCAGCCAAGGACCTCACCTCACATCTGGTGAATTCACCAGTAAGAATAAGAACAAACCTTGTAGAGAAGAAATCACAGTGGCAGAATTAGCAATGTGGAGTGAGAGGATGGTTTCTTCTCTGTTATCCAAAATGTTTGTAATTTGCTTATCTAATTTTTTTTTTTTATGAGATAAGGTCTTGCTTTGTTGCCCAGGCTGGAGTGCAATGGCATGAACATGGCTCACTGCAGGCTCAACCTTCTGGGCTCAAGCGATCCTCCCACCTCAGCCTCCCAAGTAGCCAGGACTACAGGTGCCCACCATCATGCCTGGCTAATTTTAAAAGTTTTTTTTTTTTTTTTTTTGTAGAGATGGGGTCTCACTATGTTGCCAGGGCTTTATCTAATTTTTTAAAATATGAAAACATCTTTAAAGTTCAGCTCCTAACTGTCCTCCAGGGCCCATACAAATGCTGATGGTGAGACTTTCCCTGAACTCTGCTGCCGCTGCCCTCTGCTGCTTCTTATTCATTGAAAATGTATTGATCAGGCACAGGCAGTAGCAGGCCCTGTATGGGGCAGTGAGAAATCAGATGAAAGGGGGAGAGTTATATTCTTCAGAATTATTTTTACAGTAAGGGAGCAGTCCTTATTCAGAAGAAAGTTCTTGATGAACTACTTGGACAGAAGCTGAGCAGTGGCTCCACTCAACCCAAGCCGGCTCCAGGGAGAGAGGTGAGCAGAAGTGACTTCTGAAAGACATCCAGCTGCTCTGGGGACAGAGGAAGAGAGAAGGAAGGTTCCAGGAGAGAGAAGGAGGTGGACAGGCCCTCAGGCCACCCCGATGACCCAAGCCCTGGTATATCCTCCTCCCGCAGTGTGGCAGTGCCTGTGACTTCTATGAGAACACAACAAGGTGGTGGGATGTCTCCCTGTGGTTATGTGGTAGAAGACTTTGACTCAGAAGACTGGTGAGGACCGGGCTTCCTGCTGGCCTTGATGACCTACAGTGCTATGCTGTGAGCTGCCTGTGGAGACAGCTGGGTGGGGAGCTGCAGGCAGCCTCTAGAACCTGAGTGGCTCCACTGCACAGCTGTCAATGCTGGGCCCTCAGGCAGCAGCCATGGGGAATCACTTCTGTCCATGCCTGAGGGAGCATGGAGGCGGATTCTCCCTGGTTGGGCCTCCGGATGAGAACAGAGCCCAGCGGACACCTGGATTGCAGCCTAAGACTCTGAGCAGAGGACTCAGCCAAGCCCGCCCAGACTGCTGGCCCAGGGACTGAGGCAACCATGAAGTGTGTTTATGTCACTAAGTTTGTGATAATTTGTTACACGGCAATGATAACGAATACACACAGACACACACACAGAGAACCAGGAGATAACTGAAGGCACTACTTGAAGCAAGGAATGCTGGTGTGAATGGGAAGCTGATGAAGGCTGCTTGGTTGTAGGAGTGAAGGGCATAGAAAAGCAAGAGGCAGTAAGAATAGGAATTGGGCAGGGTGCGGTGACTCACACCTGTAATCCCAGCACTTTGAGAGGCCAAGGCAGGAGGATGCCTCGAGCCCAGGAATTCAAGGCCAGCCTTGGCAACATAGTGAGAGCCCCATGTCTACCCAAAATTTAAAAAATTAGCTGGGCATGGTGGCGTGTGCCTGTAGTCCCAGCTAATTGGGAGGCTAAGTCGGGAGGATCGATTGAGCCCTGGAGTTGAAAGTTACAGTGAGCTGTGGTCATGCCACTGCACTCCAGCCTGAGGGACAGAGTAAGACCCTGTCTCAATTAAAAACAAAAAAGAATAGGAATTCATGACAGATAAGGAGGCTCTGACTGTCATGGCGCAAGGAATGGCTCTGGGTGCCAGGTGAGTGCATCATGGAGAAGTGGGCAGGACCTGGCCAGGGCCCCTGCGGAGGCCCTGTGGATGTGCAGGTGTGCACGACTCAGGTGAAGCAGGGCATGCTGCATGGTCTGTACCAGTGTTGAGGGAGCACCCGGGTGTGCCTCAGTCAAGGGTGGCTTTCCAGGGCAGGGGACAGGTGAGCTGCAGGTGCTAATTAGAACCATGAAGATGGAAGAAGCCATCCAAGGGGCTTCCTGCTGAGAGCAGTGACAGAGGTGGCCACGGGCTGGGGGAGCATTCATGACACATCTGAGGAGCCTGGTGATGCTTTAATAAGTTAGAAAAACATGGGACATCTGCCAGGCATGGTGGCTCACGCATGTAATCCTAGCACTTTGGGAGGCCAAGGTGGGCGGATCACCTGAGGTCAGGAGTTCGAGACCAGCCTGGCCAACATGGTGAAACCCCGTCTCTACTAAGAATTCAAAAATTTGCTGGTCATGGTGGCGGGTGCCTGTAATCCCAGCTACTTGGGAGGCTGAGGCAGGAGAATTGCTTGAACCCGGGAGGTGGAGATTGCAGTGAGCTGAGATCATGCCACTGCACTCCAGCCTGGGTGACAGAGTGAGACTATGTCTCAAAAAAGAAAAAAAAAAAGAAAAAAGAAAAACATGGGACATCCATAACGTACCAGGAGCCATGCTGGGTCTTCACGTACATTCTCTTACTTACTTTTCGTAATAACCTCGTGAAGGAGGTATTCTTCCCACTTTATAGATAAGGACACTGAGGCTCAGATGCTAAAAGGCTTGTTTACATTTGCACATCTAGAGGGTGACTCCAAAGCCCTGTTCCTGCCCTGTAGCCTTTGCAGATTTCAACCACCCCCGCCCATGCTTCCTGCTCCCCCGCCACATTGTGACAGATGAAGCCACCACTGGTCAAGCGTGGGCTGCACTCAGTTGGACTGAAGCACACATGTCTGAGGAGGGACTTGGGCCAGGGGCTGGGTTGGAGAAATTCTAGAAAAAAAAGAGCCCACAGCTGGAAGATGCCAGATTATGGGAAGAGTGACTGAACTCAGCTCCAACCCCGCTGGCCCCACTGCCCTCCCACTGGGCCTCCTTTCTCCAGAGCAAGGTGTGCCTGTGACCCCTCCATGGCAGCCCAGGGGCCTTTCAGCCCTCACGTCCACCCTTGCAGTCACCCACACTTCTTTACACCTCACCACCTCCCTTTGCTTGTTGTTTAGATCTCCAACTTCTGAACGAATCTGTCACGCTGAGTACCAGGCAGAGGTCAGTGTGAAAGACAAGGGGGTCAATGACCTGATCCCCTCCTGGGATCTCAGAAAAAAACAAAGATGCACACGACCCTGCCCACGGAGGGGGCCATGCCGCTGGCCCGACCCCTTGACAGTGGCTTTCTTGTTCAGTGAGATGAGTGGCTCTTCCGAATAGGGATACTAGTTGGTTTGCTCACATAGATGTCACTACTGGACTAAAAGATGCCTGTCCCCCATTGTGTGGCATGCCAGCTGCGACCGTGAGGTCACTGAGCTAACGACACTCAGCTCATGCAGGTCACACACAGCGTCAGCATTGGAGACAGATCATCATCCATTTTACCAACAAATGGGGAGGTGGAAGGACTTCCCACACAGAACCTTGAGCTAGGTCTTGAATACAGAGTGAGACTTTAAATTAAAAGAATTAAAAGAGGGCGTGCATGGCAGGGGCTGGGCAGGAGCAGGAGTGTGGAGATAGACCCTTGTGGCATGCTGTGGGACTAGTGGGTGACCAGCCTGGTTCCAGGGCTTGGCATGGGGAAAGGGTGGCTGTTTGTCCTGGAGAGGAGGTGGGAACAGATGTCATGGGAGCCAGGCTTCGAGGCCCAGACCTGCAGATGGTTGGAACTGGAAGCTGGTGAGCCCAAATGTAACCCCCTGCCCCCATCCCCCCACTCCCCCGCTACTGCCCTGTAGCCAGGACACACTGCAGAAAACCCTTGCCTTCCTGGGTCACAGCTTGGAGCCCCTGGGGATGGGAGCACCACAGCCTCCTGCTGGGCTCCTAAGCTGTGGAGCCAGAAGGTCTGACCCCAGGACAATCAAGAGATTTAAAATCCTCAGAATACTTTCGGAGCTCTGAAAGCAAACCTCTGCTTGGACCCTTTGGGGTTCTAGCTCAGTCAGCTCAGGGTCAGGCCTGACATCTGAATTTTTCAAAGCAGCTCTGGTGATTTTGCTCTGCCCTGAGTAACAACCTCACACCAGAGTGGCTGTTCCTCAAAGGCAGGGACACCCAGCCCTGGGCTGGCCAGGAGCAAGAGCTCAGGGGACAGTGTGGATGGACTCCTGGCCAGGATGGATAATAGGCCAGTTTGAGGCCAAAGGAGGGAGAGTTCAGGAACGAGGGGTTTTAGGACTCAGAAATGCGTCATATCTCCCCCCTGAAGGTTTAATTTTCCCTTCATAGGAAAATGTTAAAGCGGTTCCATTTCTTAGTGACACGGTTGCTCTGCACCAGTCCAAACTCTATAATAAACAAATGAAATGTATGAACACGTCCTGGCTTTTCTCAACTTAATATCACATGCATTTCCAGCCAAGAGAACACTGAGTCTGGTGGAGGGAGACCAGGCATTTGAGAGCCAGAAGGTGGAGAGCTGGACGGGCCTTCGTTGCTGGGTAAAGAAGCCCAGGGTTGGGGGCCTCACCTCAGATCACATGATCGCTTGTGGTGGAGGCAGGTCGAGGACCCTGGCCTCTGACTTCTGAACAGGATTTTTTTGTTTTGAGTGACTTGTCCAAGGCCACACAGCTAATACATAGCAAGGCCAGGCTGTGTGACACCAGGGTCCATACAATGGCCTCTAAGGTGCCTCTGTTCTGAGAGAGGGGCAATGCCCAGGCAGTTAGGACAGTCAGCAGGAAAGGGCAGACAGAACTGCCTGCCAAGGGTCCTGGCTTCCTCCACCAGTGCACTTATTTAGCTGTTCTGTGATTGTCTATTTTCCTGTCAGTCTCCCCAGCAGTCTGTGAACACCACAGGACAGTCTCTCCATCATCTCTGTGTCTGCAGCACCCAGCACAGGGCCAAGTGTCCAGAAAGCACAATGCATGATTGCAGGATCCATTAATTAATTCACTTGACCAGTATTAATGAGCACCTACTATGTGCCTGGCACTTGGCTAGGTGCTGACAACACAGAGTTGAATCTAGGCAGAGTAGCCTCGTTAACTTTGCAAAGCTTACAGCCCAGTGGATAAAGAAACCAGTTAACAAGTGAATGCATATAGAATGACAACATATGATATGTGCTGTGGCCGGGAGGGAACAGGGTACAGTAAGGGAGAGCCAGGGTGGCATGAAGGGGTTGGTGGGGAGGGCCTTCCTAAGAAGATGATGTGCAAGTTGAGATGGAAAAAAAGAGGAAGAAGAAGAGATGTAAGATGTTGGGGAAGCATGTTCCAGAGGAAGGAACAGCACGTGTGGAGGCCCTGAGATGGTAAGGGCTTGGTCTGCTTAGGGAACTTGAGGCTGGTGGGACTGGAGTATGTGACATGGGATGAGGTGGGGTGGGCGAGGCAGATCATGCAGGGCCTCCTAGACCAGGTTAATGGTCTGCAGGTTGATTCTACATGTCATGGAAGCTGTTGAAGGTAAATGAGGGGCAGGGCCCAATCTGCTTTTCTCAAGATCCTTCTGGCCACTGGGTGGAATAGATGGGACGGGGACAAGAAGTGAGGCGAGGAGACCAGTGAGGTGGCGGTGGAGTCTGGACGTGAGAAGAGAGTGCCCGGGCCTGTAGGGTTGGGAGGAAGCTCCATTCTTCGACTGAGTAGGCAGAATCCACTGGAACTGTGGATGGGGCTGTGGGGTTGAGAGAAAGAGGATAGCCAATGACAGGCCCGATGGAAGACCTGGGTGATGGAGCTGCCATTTGCAGACAAGAAGAAAACAGGAAAAGGAGGCAGTTTTCTGGGTGGAACTTCAAGTTGGTGACATTAAACTTGAAGTGTGGCTGGGCACGGTGGCTCATGCCTATAATTCCCGCACTTTGGGAGGCTGAGGCAGGTGGATTGCTGGAGCTCAGGAGTTTGAGACCAGCCTGGGCAACATGGTGAGACCCCGCCTCTACAAAAAATACAAAAAATAATTAGGTGTGGTGGTGTGTGCCTGTGGTCCCAGCTACTTGGGGGGCTGAGGTAGGAGGATCACTTGAACCCAGGAAGCCGAGGCTGCAGTGAGCTGAGATTGTGCCACTGCACTCTAGCCTGGGCGACAGGGCAAGATCCTATCTCAAACAAAACAAAACTTGAAACGTTTGTGAAACATCCAAGTGGAGATGTCAAATAGGCAGTTGGTTAATGAAGTATGGAGCTCACAGGAGAGGTCTGGGGAGATCTCCATCTGGGGGCATTGGGCTTGTAGGTGGTATGTTAAAGCTATGAAATTAGATGAGAAAAGGCTGGAGAAGCTGAACATTTGGAGGTTGAGTAGAAGGAGAGAGACCAAGATGGAGGGGCAGAAAGCAGGCAAAAAGTTAGAAGAGTGTGAGTCCATAGGGAAGGGCATTTCATGAGGGCAAGAGTAATCAGCTGCACCCATGGCTGTGGAGAGGCCGTGTGGAAGAACTGGACGTGTCGTACAGATTCAGCAACACAGAGGACTGCTGACCCTGACAGATTCACAGGCTCAGTGAATGACTCCAAAGATGCAGAAAGAGGAGACAGTCACTAGAGTGAGTTGAGGAGTCAGGGAAGGCTTCCTGAGGGAGGTAGCATTTCAGCAGAGCCTTGAAGGCTGAGTCCTGAGAAATTTAAATGCTGCTTGCAAAGGCCTCTGTGCAGAAAATACAAAGCGCCCTTGGCCTGGGGATTATCTCCACTTCACAAAGGGGGGAGGTCCAAGGAGCTGGCTCACTGCTCAGCAGCAGGGAGGCTGGGAGGCAGAACGCATGCAGAGGCTCATCCTCTTTCCTCTCTGCAGAGGAGTCCTGGAAGATGAAGATTTCTCATGGCCTCAGAGCAAAAGGCTCTTAGACACCACCTGGAGCAGCCACTCATTATACATCTGGAATACTCAAGACCTGGACAGGGATAGGGTTGCTCAAGTTCACCTAGCACATCAGTGAAAGGGACCAAGTGATCTCCCATGATTTCCATGGCCCGCACCCTACTGGGTAAGGTCTGAATTCTTCAGCCTGGTGTTCAAGGTCGTTCATGATTGGGCAAGAGCTCACCGTCCAAATTCATCTCGCACCATCCCGCCCTTGTCCCCAAGTCCCAACCTCCTGAGTGCTCAGCATACACAACATATAGTCTTCATGACAACCCTTCGAAGTAGGTGTTGTTATTCCCATTTTACAGATGAGGAAACTGAGGCGTAGAGAGGTGAGGTAATATGTCCAAGGTTACACAGCCAAGCCAGGCTGTGATCACTGGAGTATCCTCAGAGTTAGTTCTCTTTTCCCCAGGCCTTGCTGCATTACCATGAACAGCCCCTCCTCTGGGAAGCCAACCCTCAACTCCCTGGCCTTGAGCTATCTTGGAGTCGGGTCATATCCGTTGATTCCAAATCACCTGTTCTATCCACTAAAAATTCTACTGGATGGAACCAACAACTGGGGCCACTGAATGACTCAGAAGCCGGCAGCCCACGGCACTGCCCATAAAGGCCCCACGGTCACACTCATCCCAGGGCCTGTGGTTGCTCTCCAGCCACCCACAGCAGGAGCAGGGCAGCAACAGAAGCCATCCTCTACCCTCCTGGTTCCGGACCACCTGGTCAAACCCCCGCTCTCACCTGGAGACCACCAGTGGCAGGATCATCATCTTCAGCATCCTCATCAGGAGCTCTCCAGGGAACTGGAAGTAACTAATTTCCTGAAAACACAGTAAGAACTGGGGTTATAGCAAGAGATGCAGACTGCACAGTGGTTCCGTTCTTCACAGTCTTTGAAGCACTATCCCATCTGACTCCCCTGTCTAGCACATGGCAGCAGAGACCATGGAGAAAGAACTGGCTTTGGAGCCACAGAACTGGGTTCCAATCCTGGTAAACACCCCGCCTCCACCAATCCCCCACAAGCTGTGTGGCCTTAAGCATCTTCTGTGACCACTCTGAGTTTTGTATTTTTCTCATCTGTAACATGAGGGTAATAACTACAGTAGTCCCTACTTATTCTCAGCGGACAGGTTCCGAGACCGCCAGTGGATGCCTGAAACCACAGAGACTGAACCCTGTGGACGTTGTTTTTTTCCTATATGTACATACCTACGATAAAATGTAATTCATAAATTAGACACAGTAAGAGATTAACAGTAACTAATAATCAAATGGAGCGATTAGAATATACTGTAATAAAAGTTATGTGAATGTGGTCTCTCTTAAAATATCTTCCAGTACTGTTCTCACCCATTTTTCAGACCATCGGTAACTGAAATCACAGAAAGCGAAATGGCGGATAAGGGGGGACTGCTCTGCCTCACAGGGTCATTGGGGGGCTTAAACGGGAGAATGCACGCAAGCACTTAGCACAGCGCCTGGATGACAGCCAATGTTTGGTAATCCTGAAAATAACAGCTCTCCTCCATCTGCACCACGCATCTGCCTAGCCATGGAATAAAATCTCTCTCGTGTAGCAGATGGCAGGTGACCAGAGGACAGAGCCGAGTACTGTTCATGCATTCATTCAACCCGCATCGTGCCACGCATCACAGTGGGTACCCCAACATGAACTAGGCAGGGTTCCTGTCCTGAGAAGTTCCCAGCCTAGCTGGTGAGGAGACCCACTCCTAAGCAGACCATGGCCGCCTTGCGAGTCAGTTTCTCCATCTGTTTTGGGTCCATTCTCTAGTGCTTCTCCTCGAAAATGCTGAGAGAGAGAGGATCAGATTGAATGGGTGCAACACCACGCGGTAGAAACAGCCCCCTTTGGCAGAGTTCTTACGCCTGACCCCTTCCTAGGCCGCTGGCTCCAGCCTGTCCACGGATCTCTGACTAAGGCGCCAACTCCTTGCCCAATAAGCTGTCTCGCAAGTAACAGTCACGTGACCAGGACCTGACAACTGAAGCAGAAGGGCTGCTAAGCCCAGTTAAATCAGACTTTCAGATAACAACATATAGTTCATTCTTATACTAAAAAAAAAAAATGCTGTTTATCTGAAACTCCAGTTTAACTGGGTGTGCTGTTTATAAAATTTTTTAACTTAATTCAGTTCTGCTACTTCTGGCAACCCTGGCATGGGGCCACTTTCTTCAGAGGGTGAGGTTGTGGGCGAGGCAGGCAAATGGACTTTCAAACATCATCCAAGTTGAATTGTTGTACTTGCAACTATTTTTTTTTAACCAAAGCCAAACATACTCGGTTGATGATCTGATGCTTTAAAAATCTCCAAATCATCAAATGTTGGTGCTATGAGGGGACTCTTGAGATCTTCTAGCCCAGCCCACTCATGTGATAGATGAGGAAGCTGAACCGCAAAAGGGAGGTGACAGACCCACCCAATGTTAACCGCAGCACAGGACCAGGACTGCTAACATTTCCAATGCACCAGAAAATCTGCTTTTTAAAGAAATATGCCCATCATGACTCTCTCTCTCTCTATATATATATATATAAAATAATATATATAATTATATATTATATATATATATTTTTTAGACAGAGTCTTGCTCTGTCACCAGGCTGGAGTGCAGTGCAGTGGTGCCATCTCGGCTCACTGCAACCTCCGCCTCCCAGGTTCAACCAATCCCCCTGCCTCACCCTCCCAAGTAGCTGGGACTACAGGTGCGCGCCACTATGCCCGGCTAAATTTGTGTATTTTAGTAGAGATGGGGTTTCACCATGTTTGCCAGGATGGTCTTAATCTCCTGACCTTGTTGATCCGCCCGCCTCGGCCTCCCAAAGTGCTTGGATTACAGGCGTGAGCCACCATGCCCTGCCAACAATATATTTTTAATTAACTTTAGTCCATATATTTATATAAACATATATATAATATATATAAACATATATATAAACATATATAATATATAAACATATATAATATATAAACATATATAATATATATAAACATATATAATATATAAAAACATATATATATTATATATATATATATTTTTTTTTTTTTTTTTTGAGACAAGGTCTCATTCTGTTACCCAGGCAGGAGGGCAGTGGCATGATTTCAGCTCACTGCAACCTCCACCTCCTGGGCTCAAGTAATCTTCACACCTCAGGCTCCCGAGTAGCTGAGACCACAGATGTATGCCACCAAGCCCAGCTAATTTTTGTATTTTTTGTAGAGACAGTGTCTCACTATGTTGCCCAGACTAGTCTCAAACTCCTGGACTCAAACAGTCCTCCCAGCTAGGCCTCCCAAAGTGCTGGGATTATAGGTGTGAGCCACTGCACTGGCACCCACATGTATATATTCTTTAAGTTAAAAGTGCTCTAATAGCCAGGCTCAGTGGCTTATGCCTGTAATCCCAGCACTTTGGGAGGCCAAGGTAGGTGGATCACTTGAGGTTAAGAGTTCGAGACCAGCCCAGCCAACATGGCAAAACCCCATCTCTACTAAAAATACAAAAATTAGCTGGGCATGGTGGTGCATGCCTGTAGTCCCAGCTACTCAGGAGGCTGAAGCACAAGATTCGCTTGAACCCAGGAGGCGGGGATTGCAGTGAGCTAAGATCGCACCACTGCACTCCAGCCTGGGCAACAGAGGGAGACGCTATCTCCAAAAAAAAAAAAGTGCTCTACTGATAAAAAGGCAGCTCTTGCCTCACCTCTCTCTATCCCTATCTTGCAACTTCCCAGTAGTGAACATGCTCAGTTCTTCTAGCTGTTTCCCATAGTATCACTATTTCTAGATAATATGGTCATAATGCTATTTCTTGATTCATCATTTTGACATCTATCAATTTCCCTGCCATGATTGATGAGGAGTTAGTTCTTACTCCCTTTCTCTCCACCTATTTCAGCATTATATTTATATCAATTTTTTAGTAAATCAAGATTTACAATGTTTTGATCGCCAAACAGTGTTTACCATTGAGCCAAGTAATGTACTACAACCATGTCTCCTTGCTTGTAGCCTAAAGTTAATTGACTGATTTTTATTTGTCTTGTTTTCTGGGAATCACCCACTAATTTCTTCCAAACATTTTAACATGTCTACTAAACTACCTAACAATAGTATTTTCTGCTCTCTCAAGCACATCAGTTCTCTTTTATCCTGCCTGGGGCCTTGGTCTGTGAGCTTTCCACCTTCCTGCTCCAGTTTGGACTGACTGCTCTCTAGGCCCAGTGCTTGTCATGGTTTCCTTCTTGGTTGTCATTCTGGGACTTGTCCTTTAGAGGGCCCCCTGTTTCTGGGATCCTTTGTCCTCTTGGTTTACTTCCTTGTTTTGCTGAAACATCTCCTTTGGTAGCTTTCTGAGAAAGAGTGGATGGGAGATAAACTTTTCTGAGTCCTTACATGAGTAAAAATGCCTTTATTCTACCTTTACCTCTGATATTAGCCTGGCCATGTGTGAGATACTTCGTTGGAAATAATTTCCCCTCAGGTTTAGAAGGTGTTTCTCCCTTGTCTTCTAGCTTCCAGTTTGCTTAAGATGTTCAAAGCCATTCTGATTTCCTGTTCCTTAGATGAGGTTGGTTTTATTCCACCAGAACCATCCAAAGATCATCAGTTTATCTCCACTTTTTGGTAATTTCATGGTGATGGGCCATAGTATGGGGTTTTCTTTCTTTTGTAAACAAAATTGACAGTGCTATGCTTGCCTTTCACTTCTGAGAAACTGCTTAGATTCTCTGCAAACTGTTTCTCCTCTATTTTTCTTCTGTTAGCTGTCTCTAAAAGTGTCATTAGGTAGCTGGACATTGAACATTCTAATTTTCTTATATTTTCTTTTTCTATTTTCATTTATTTTTGTTCTAGTTTCTGGGAGATTTCTACAACTTTATCCCAGTTATTGACATTAATTTTTTTTTTTTTTTTGGAGATGGGGTCTCACACCATGTTGCCCAGGCTGGCCCTGAATGCCTGGGGTCAGGCAATCCACCCGCCTTGGCCTCCCAAAGTGCTAGGATTACAGGCATGAGCCACCAGGCCTAGCCAAAGTTTTTATATTAATATATAATATTTGTACATATTTATGGGATACAGTTGGTATATTGTTAAATACACTGTGTAATGTTCAAATCAGGGTATTCAGGGTCTCCAACACTTCGAGTATTTATCCTTTCTATGTGTTGGGCAGCTACTCACATTTTTATCTTAGTTCTTCTATTTTTAATTTCCCCAGATTCTTTCTTGTTCTCTGATTGTTCCTTCTTTTCACATCCCCTCTGTTGTACGGTAACTATATCTTCACTCGCAGCTCCAGAAAGCTTAAGAGGAGATTTACAAAGCTTCCTTCTCCTCCCCGCCTTGTCTCTGCTTCACTAGAGACCCACTTTTCTCTTTGTTTCTCTCATTAGAGACCCCCTTTTCTCTTCGTTTACTCTGTTTCACATTAGGAGCCTCCTCACATTTCTGGTGGCGTGGCTTTCTGCTCGTATGTAAGTTTGAAGCGCTAAACTTCTGCATGTATGAGTAGGGTTTGTCAACTGACGGCCCTCAGGGCAGGGTGACAGGTGCTGATCTGGCTTTTTCACTGGGGCTGGGTGGGATGGTAGAGGAGTCTCCTTTATAGCAGAATTTAGAGATCTTTTCTCTGAGGCCTCAGTGAGAGAAGTCTCTTCCTGCCTTTGGCTGAGGAATGACATGGTGCCTAAGCTCAGCTGACAGCGATCTGAAACCGTGCTGGGGACCCCACTCAGACAAGGATGTCTGTTAATTAGTTTGAAGTAGGTGCCTCAGCATGGCCCTCTCCCCAACACACACAGGGGTGGCCCAATACCCTCAAGTCCAGCTTCTCTGGTTCCTTGGGGCAGGCAGTGGGTGGAGATGGGTGGATGAGTCCCCCAACTGAATTGGAAGGTCCCTAGGGGTCTAACTGCTCTGGTTACAAAACTCCAAACCATGCCCAGGCTTTCAACCCCAGCCTCACCCTGCCTAGTGCAGCATCTTGCTCTGTTACGTTCTGGAGTCTGCAAGACAAACTGACTTGGTATCAACTTCCACAGACTAAGATTCCAGCTTTCTGTGAATGAGGTCATCAGCTCCACCCACCTCCATATTATCTAATTTGTTGTAGCCTCTCTATTTCTTTTTCTCAACTGTCTCCTTTTATATTCTCTTTATTCTTGGTGGTTTTACCTTTTAAAAATCCCATTACTAAAATGTTAGTGGAATTCTAGGAAGGAGGGAAAAAAATGGATACACCTGTGATTCACCATGGTTTAACTGGAAGTCTCAAAATGCTCAGTATTTTTAAATGAGACACTCATACACCAAGATAAAATCCTGTGATTTTATCAAGGATAAAAGTTCTTTTTCACAAATAGAACATTCTACCATTTTCCATATTGTTTATGATTTTTGCCTGTTGCATAAGCTTACAAAACAAGAAGTGTTTAGTTTCTGAGTCACAGGCAAAGAGATCAAACAGAGAAATCCCAGATTTCAAAGTAAGATGCTGAGAAAGCCAGTTTCTGCCAAATAATTGTTCTAAGCCTCTACATCCTTCCTTCAATTTATCTGGCAGGTTAATCCAGACTGGAATACATTTGCATTTCCAAACAGATGGGAAAGGCAGCTTTGGCAAAGTAGGCCCCAGATGAGTTTGGCTTTTAATAATAGGCATTCCAATTTGTTTTCACAAAATAATCTTCCTGCAGGAGATATATTTTTGTTGCTGAGGAAAATTAAAGAGAACAGATTGCAGATTTTTTTGTTCCATTGCCAGTTTAATGCAGCAGATAGTTGAGCGTTCTCTCTGTGCCTGACACAGGGCTAGGCTCACGTTTTGGTTAAAAAAAAAAACAAACCCATATGTTGTTCAGCAATATGCAGCTTGGTGGGAGAAAGAGACACCCATATAACCAGCTCTGAAGCCAGGCAGCCAGCAGCGGGGTTACAGTTACTTTCATCAGCTATGGATGATGAGATGGTTCCTGATGTAGATAGGACTTTAACAGGTACATAAGGGAGGGAGGGGGAAGTAACACGTAGTAAGCACCTACTGTATGCTGGGCATTGATGAATCCTTGGTTTATTCCTCATAATAATTCTAGTAGACATATACTGCCCCACATCCCATTTTACAGACAAGGAAACTGAGGCCCAGGGAGGAGAGAGGATATTGCCTAGCCATTTGCTAGCAGAGTCAAAGTTCAGGGTTTCTCTGCCTCCAGAGTCCATGCTTCTTCCTAAATAACTGCTCGAGGCTTAACAGGGTCACTATAGTCGTGGCTCAGTTCTCCAGGAGTGGGTGTTTTCCTTTTAATGGAAGACAAAGTCTAATGCCTGACCCCAGTTGTAGAGATGGCATTAGACATTAGTGAGCTGCGGGAAGAGGACTTTCTGGGAATAGGGACTCTTCCAGGAGCCCATTGACAAAGCCTCTCTCCTTGACCACACTTTAGACAGGCTCCTCTGAGCCCTCTTTTCCACTGGGCTTTGTCCTTGGGCCTTGTCTTCAGCCTGCATAGTCCAGCTGTAGCAAAAGTCCTGCCAAGTCAGTTTAGTGAGGATCCCTCACCCTCCAGCATCCTGATACTGGATCAAATTCCTCATCCCAGATCAATGTCTGATCACCCTGGCCTGCCTTCAACAAGAATCCCCCTACCCTGATGTCTCCTGTAGTCATTTTCTGTCCCCGACCCCCTCCCTCTGCTCGCTGGCTATAAATCTCCAGCCATCTTTGTTGTATTTGTGGTTGGGTCCCATCTCTCTCCCCAGGAGGTCTTGATAACTACCCCCCTACCACAATAGTCCTGAATAGAGCCTTCCTTACCAGTTTAACTAGTGGCAGAATGATTTTGTCCTTAACACCATGGGAATGTCCCTCCCTCTCCTGTAGGAGATGGGGGCTGACAGGGAAAGGGGCTCTTTCCCAGGAAACGCAGCTTCTTCATGGCAGTTACACAGGCTGGAAACCCGGGGCCTGGCTCCCCTTCCTGTCCCCCAGCCCACATCCAATCGGCCCCCACATCCTGAAGCTCCCCCTTTTGAAAACAGTTCTCACGTCTGTCCCTTTTGTCTGCACTGCCGCATCTCCCCCAGGCTGCCCCTTCTCGGCCCCCTGCCTGCCCCAGAATCACCCCCTCTCCACTCAGCACCTGAGGGGTCTCCCAAGCTCCAAACTGGCCTGTCGCTCTTCTGCCCAAAAGCATCTCATGGTTGCCGCAAGCCCACGTGTGGCGATGGGACCTATGGGCCTGCTGGCCTCTGCGCTCCGGCCGCTGCACCTGGCATCTGCTGTCACCTCTGCCTAGAGCACGCTTCCTGGATCTCTTGTCATTTGAGCAGCCTTTAGGAGGTGTTCTCTGGTGCCTGTTTGAACTCACACAAGACCCCCCTCTTTCCCCGCCACAGCTCTTGGCCCTGTGTTTGTCATCATGAGGCACCCTCGCCTCTCCTCACCTGATGGTGCTGGGTTTGTAATCACTCCCCAGCCACATCACTGGTTCTTCCCTCTAGTCCTGCAAAGTGTTTATCACACCCATGTTACAGATGAGAAAACCAGGACCCAGAGAGGCAGAGGGATTCACACACTGTCATGGCACCAGGGAGCTGTGATGCTAGAACGGGACCCCAGATCCCTCAGGCCCACACGCCCCTCCTGGACAGGGGTCCCGAGATGCTCTGGGTGGCTGACCTGTGGTGAGAGGCGCCGGGTCCTCAAGAAGAAGCCGAGGAGGCAGCCCACGATGACAGACAGCACAGACAGGATGAGGAGTCCATTCCGCCTGCACACGTCCCTCCCCCGTGCCAAGATGGCATGCGGCACCATGGTGAGCCTGGCCTGCTGGCAAGGGGCACAGCACCATTCCACGCATGAGAGCCCGGCCGGGGGCACAGGGTCTGGGCTGAGGGCTCTAGCCCCTCAGCAGGCAGGTGGTCGGAGTTGCTAAACACCAGTCGCCAGCCCCACGGCCATGCCCGTGTGGCCGCCTTAGAGGGAAGCCACAATCCTATTACCAGCTGCATCATTAGGAGCTGGGAGCAGATTAGGGCCTGGGAAATTAGAGCAGACCACGTGGTCTAGGAGTTCAGGCCTCAAAGCCAAGCGTTCCTCTTAAACAGTTGAGTGGACCAGGTACTGGAAGGAACAAGAGGAACATTTGCTTGGTTGGTTTGATCTTTACCCCTGCTTCCTTCCAGAAAGAATCAAAAACAAGACAGTAAGATATCAGTTTCCCTCAACATTAATTAAGCATTTACTATGCACCAGGTGCCATTCTAGAAGAGTGTTACATGTACTGGCATATTTAATCCTAACACCAATCCCAAGAAATAAGTACTATTAATATCACCATTTTACAGATAAAGAAACTGAGGTGGGTGGGTGCATGTGCTGCGGGCCAGGCCTGTGCTGGCTGCCTTAGCTATGCCAATCATAGGGAATTGTCCCAAAGATCCCAGGGTTCCCACCTTCATTTTTCAGAAAGGGAGGCTGAGACCCCAGAAGCCAGTCCCTTGGCCATGGTCACAGAGGTCAGAAGTCAGGGCTAGGCCAGTCTGTTTCCACCACATGAACAGGCAGATAGGTTCAAGGGTGCTTGGCAGTATTGTGGGGAATGTAGATTCGAGTCCAGGGGACCTGAGTTCAAAGGTGGGCTGTGCCACTCACCGGGAAATGGGACGTAGATGCTTCAGGGCTGTTTCAAGCCTGGTGCTGGGCACCCTGCAGGCTCTCTGGGCCTATTATTTTTTAAAGATGACAGAGCCCAAGAGACCCACATTCGGGTCCCAGCTCTGCCACTTACTAGCTGTGTGACCTCAGACAAGCATTTCATCTCACTGTGCCTCAGTTTCTCCATCTGTAAAATAGAGATGATAACAGCATCTACTTTGTTAGGGCTGGTACAAAATTCCACCCAGAGGGTATTTGGAAACGCAGTGTGAACCCTGGTGTGCTGAACAGGGGAACGGACTCTTAGGGTCATTATCACACTTAGTGCTTTGGAGAATAGGTGTCTTTTTGCTATTTCTTGTGGCCTGGCCTGCCCTGCCCTGTAAAGCCTGGGGGAATTAACCCTCGTCTATTTCACCAGAGATCTGTAATCTCATTAGGAGCAGTCAGGCAGCAGGCAGCAGGGAATGGGAAGTGCAGTCTGCAGTGAGGGTGGGAGGTAAAGGGTGGGGTGCACACAGGGGCTTCCTCCTCCTGACATAGGAGACAGGGGCAGAGGATGAAGAGGACGGGCCAAGTGGGGCATAGGGGAGAGGTGGGGAGAGGGGACTGGGGCACAGGCTCTGAAGCCATGGACAGAGCTCCTGACTGAGAAGATTCTGATCCCAATTTAATCAGCTCTGTGACCTTGCCGTCTCTGGGTATCAGTCTTGTCCTTTTTAGAATGAGAGAAATGGGCCCAGGTACCTTTGTCAAAGGAACTTCATTTCAACAAACCAATCTTCCAAAGCCCCTGCTCTTTGCAGTAGCTTGGGGTGGGGGGTGGGGGTGAATACAAGTCTGAGAGTTTTTTTTCCTCTGACTTTGACTCTTAAAACCAAAAGTTTCTTGCTACACCTTCAACTCCAACAAATGCCTCATTTTCCAAATAATCAGGTGGTTAGTTACTTCCCAGAAGAGAAAATATGCTAAGTAGGTATTTGGATTTGGGTTTTGATCAACTCCTGGGCTCAAACAATCCTCCCATCTTGGCCTCCTAACGTGTTGGGACTGCAGGCATGAGCCACCACACCCAGCCCAGACCTGGCCTTTAGCTGTGCCATGATATAGGTGAGTCTTGCTTTCTACCACAGCTCCATGACTCCCATTCCCAGGACGTGCCCTATAGCCACCACTGACTCCTCTCTCCCACAGGCTGAGCCTACCACTACCTGCCTACCAGACTACAGCCATTCTTTCCACTGTTCCTACGGTCTTCAACAGGAGAATTTCAACTCACTCTAGCAAATGTTCTTATAGCACCATTTAGTGTGCCACACCCCCTGGGTACTAGAAACACAACAGTGAATCAGACAGTACCTGCCCTGCCTTCAGGAAGCTTATAAGAAAGTGGAGAGACCCCAAGAACGGACTAATTCACACTAAAGTGTAAGTGACTGATAATGAGTTTACTAAGAATATTTGCAAATCAAATCAAGTCTCCTGGGTCAGAACCCTATAATAGTTCACCATTGACAAAGAATCAACTGCCTTTTACAATGTCACTAGATGTGCAAGACAATTTTTCCATAATTACATCAAAAGGAAGTTTGGGAAATGCTGGACGAAACAAAAAGTTAAGCACGTTATTTCCTCTGAGACAGCTCAAAGTCAGACTGCTAGAGTTAAAACCTCAGCTCTACCTTCAACCAGCTGTGTGACCTTGGGAACATTTCTTAACTTCCCTGTAAAATGGGGATAATGCAACAGTACCTAGATCATAGGGTTTTGATGTGGGTCATACAGTGCTGCATGCGCCATGGTTAGAGCGTGGCCCAGTGCCTTGCAGATAGCCCCAGGTAGTTACTATGAAAGTCTTTACAGTAGCGGCTGTGTCGGAGGAAGTCACCAAGTGGAGAATAGAGAATCCCACCCCTCCTCTGGAGCAGAGAACTCCCTGGGCCTGGTGTTTGGAGAACACGCCTGGGAAACCCCGGTCTGCAGCATCGAGTCTATGCTCCCCTGCAAGGCACTTTCACCCTTTTCCTCACCCTTTCAGCATTACCTCCTACTCCTTCCGTCACCCCTCCAGCTCCTATGACACCAAACCACTGCAGGGTCCTGGAACGCTGCATCCTGTCTCAGGCTTCTGCACCTTTGCCTGTGCTATTTCCTTGGCCTAGAATGTCCTTCCTTGTCACGAAAGTTACAGGTTAAATCCCCCTCTTCTTCGAAGCCTTCCCTGATTACCCTAGATACAATACCTTCTCTTTTTCTCACTCTAACTCAGGCCCTTCACAGTCACCAGCTGGGGATTCACCTAGCTCCCTTTTAAGTGGCTCTGACAAGGAAATAAGAATCTATGAAAATAAAATCAAATCTCTGTTTGTTACCATGTCATTTGAAATCACCTCAATGGAGAATCCTCAAAGTTGGAGGGTATATTGGCAGGGGCAGCGGGGTGCTAGGGATAGCCTGAGGAGCAAGGTGTTGTATAATGGGCAGCAGGCGGCCTCAGAGATGCTTCTGGGGAGGCTTGAGCTGGACAGACTGAGATGCTATGGCAAAGAAGAGACATGGTGTTGGCGAAAATGAACGCCAAGTCACAGGTGCAGCTGCCTCACCCTGCAGAAGCAGGTGTGCAGTTGAGCTGTTCTTCACCGGGCCCTCTGCTTGGGTTATGCTGTGGGGAGAGCAGCAGGGGTTGACTTATTTGCTAATGATTAATGATTAATGATTCGCCAGGGCTACAGGCAGGGCCAACCCAGCCTGGGAAGGCGGGGATAGGAAGGCTTCCCAGAGGAGACGTGGTTTAGGCAGAGGCCTCAATAAGCCAGGGAAGGGGGTGCTGGTCAAGGGAGAGGGGAGACGACAGTCTGATTTAGGCCGGAGGCGTGACAGCAGGGCCTCCCAGGGCTAGCAGTGCATCGGTGGGCTGCAGTGGCCATCGGGGCTGGGGCCTTACACCTTCCACCATGTGTCAAAATGAGTTTAGGTCTGGCCGGGTGAGCTCCCATCTGGGTCTGTCGTGACGACAGCTCGGGGTATGTTGGCTGCTTTCCAGAGACATACCAGAGGCGCCTTAATCTCCCTGACACGTCTTCCCAGCTCGCTGGAAGCTGGGCCCTTCCGGGAAGGTTTTCTGTGGGCAACAAATGCAGCTGATCCAGCTGGGTGTGGATTCCTGCGAGCTTTAGTCACCGAGGGGCTGTCCTGACCTCGCTGAGGGCTAGTCCTTTCCCACATTTGCCTCAGAGGATGGGAGAAAGTGACTCTGTGGTGGCAACTCAGACACACGCCTTCCTTTTTCCCTTCCAGTCCCCCGTCTAAATCTGTCACTTAATGGAAATGAGGCCTGGGCGCCCATAAGCCCCTGAGCCGCTCTGTGTTGAGCACCGACTGTGTACCAGGCTCTGGCTGGGTACTCTGACACCTTCACCTAGAAGGGCCCTGACCAGGGGGAGCCAGGGACCCCTCCACATTCACTGGGTCAGTCAAGCCTGGGGGCTCTAAGTCTGTGCAGTACAATTACATAGCATCCATTACACTACTTAAATTGAAATTAATCAAAATTAAATAGGACCAGGCCCAGAGGTTCATGCCTGTAATCCCAGCACTTTGGGAGGCTGAGGTGGGAAGATGGCTTGAGCCCGGGAGTTTCAGACCAGCCTGGGCAACATGGGGAGACCCTGCTTATACAAATAATTTTAAAAATTCACTGGGCATGGTCGTGTGTGCCTGTGGTCTCAGGTACTTCGCAGGCTGAAGTGAAAGGATCATTTGAAGCCTGGGAATTTGAAGTTGCAGTGAGCCGTGATGGAACTGCACTCTATGCTGGGCAACAGTGTAGGATCCTGTCTCAAAAAAAAATTTATATAGTTTAGAATTCAGTCCCTCCGTTGCACTAGCCACATTTCAAGGGCTCAATAGCTGTATGTGGCCAGTAGCTACCATGTTGGACAGCACAGTTAGAGAACGTTTCCATGATCACAGAAAGTTCTACTGAACTCTCTACAGTCACCCTGAACCAAATTCAAAGCTCAGCCTTTGGCTTGGAAGGTGTGCGACTTTGCCGAAGTTAGCGAACCTCTCAGAGCCTCTTTTCTGTGCCTATAAAAGCCCATGCACTTTCCATTGCATCATACTTCCTCTCATTTGCATATAAAAGTTAGGACAAAGTATAAAGTTAAACCCTCCAGCCAGTTTAGATTAGGTTTCCAAATTAGTTAGGATTTTTGTTAATAAATACTAGGAAACTAAATCAAGCTGGCTTTGGTTAAAAGGGAATTTATAAGCAGGGCTGACTGTGTAATTTGTGAGGCCCACTGCAAAATGAGCACGTGGGGCTCTTCTTTCCAAAAGCAGGAAAAAAGTGCATCAAAGGTACTAAAATATATAGCTTTATTTCTTCCACAGTTTCTCTCTCTCAACTTATCATGATGTTTTTTATTTGTGATTTTGTCATTCTTAAGTAAATAAAAATAACAATTTTAAATTAGTAGCATTAACTTTATCATTCACCTTTTTTTTTTTTTTTTTTTTTTGAGCTGGAGTCTTACTCTGTCACCCAGGCTGGAGTTCTGTGGCTTGATCTCAGCTCACTGCAACCTCTGCCTCCTGGGTTAAAGAGAATCTCCTGCCTCAGACTCCTGAGTAGCTGGGATTACAGGCGCACACCACCACGCCCGGCTAATTTTTGTATTTTTAGTAGAGATGGGGTTTCACCATGTTGGTCAGGCTGGTCTCGAACTCCTGACCTCAAGTGATCCGCCCACCTTGGCCTCCCAAAGTGCTGTGATTACAAGCATGAGCCACCGTGTCCGGCCCTTCATCTTCACACTCACTGTGCAATGCCAGTTTTAAATGCAAATATAAGAGCATTTAACTCACATGCAGAATCACCAAAGTTATACAGTTTGTATTTAGTAGCTCATACATGCGTGTGTATTTCATTTTTTGCCAGATGGTGGAAATGCTGCACAAAACTAATCCAACTGTTTTTATTTCACTTCTCAATGCATATCCATTCCATCTGTCCTCTCTACCTTTGACTCACTGATGAGTAAGGAAGAACTGGAAAGAAAAGGAACTCTGGTGGTCCTCTCATTCCCTTGCTGTTGATGTTATCACTTTCAGTGTTTAAGTAGTTGGCTAATGCAGGTGAGTAACACTAGTAAGAAAGGATATGATAAAATTCCTTGGTCGTTTGCATTTTTAGAATGCAATTTTTTGTTCTTCCTATGTTCGAAACAAGTTCTGGTTTGAGGAAAGTGAGGCTTCTCGTGAGTCTTGGTGCCTCTGCTTACTTAGCTGTGGACATAACACACTTACCTGACACCTATTTGAGTCTTGCTGAACTCCCATGCGTTGCCAGTTTACCAGAACTCTGTGCTCATGGGACATTACACACGCTGTATGAGGATGGAGTGGCAACTACCAGTGGCGGCATGTATATTGGACGTGTTTTTTCTGTTTGTGTGTATACTCTATTGTCCCATCAGACTTTGCTTATAAGACACAAGTTCAAAGATAAAATTATTAAGAATTTAGTGACAGTGACAACAGAGCATTAAACCAAGCACAGGGGCCCTTCTGAGCATGGGGCCCTGTGCTACTGCGCAGATCATAGAACCAGGAAACCGGTCCCATTTATAAGACCAGGTGAGCATGGGTTTTGCAGAACCCAAGGACAAGAGCAGAACTGAACTGCAAAGACCCTCTGAACCAGGTACTTGATTGTTAATGGAATTATCTCTCACACCAGCTCTCCTTTCTACATGTCTGATTTGTCCATTCATTCTTCATTCAACATATATATGTTGAGAGGTGGCATAAGGTATTGATTAAGAGCACAAACTCAGGAACCAAATGACTTGTGTTTGAATCTTAGCTCCTTCACCTACTCTTTTTGGAACTGTAGGCAAGTTACTCTGTGTTCCAGTTTTAGTTTTCTCATATTGAGTGTAGGGATAATAATATTCTACCTTATAGGGTTGTTATAAGGAGCAAATGAATTACATGTATGAAGCTTAAGACAGTTGTCTGATCATAGTAAGCACTATCTATCTATCTATCTATATCTATGTTACTATTATTACTATGTGCCAGACATATTCCGGACACTTGGAATACTGTAATAAACCGAAATAGACAACAATCCCTGCTTTTATAGAGCCTACATTTGGTGATGACATTTATGTTACATTATTCTTTCTCTAATGAACCCATCTCCACTACTACTGTGGTCCACAGGGAGGAAGCATGGCCACCAGCAGCTCTGTTTCACTCCAGTGCCACAGTTCTCAGGGAAGGTTCTGACTGGCCCAGTTTAGACCAATCTCCTGCAGCCAGTAGGGGCAGGGAGCAGGGTCACATTATTTACAGTTGCTGCTTCTATGGTAACTCTGTAGATGTGTGTAGTAGCAGTTAGAAAAGTGGATACATGAGGCAGACACAGCAAAATATCTAGTACATTGTCCCAGGCACTCAGCTCTTGGCATGGCTTGCTTAGTAAAACCTTGGTTTTCTGTTCTTTCTTGTGTAAAATGCCTAACATCTTATATCCAGTGAGGCTGCTCTAGAACTTAGGGTCAGTGGCTCGAGGTTCCTTGTTGCTTGTCTTCTTCTCTGATGTCTGCCTCGGCCCTTTATGGCAGCAGGCACCTGGGGCCTCACCCACAGAGTGCACAGGATTCACCAATGTTGTTGAGTTGTTGATTCATCAATGTTGTTGAAAAAATGTTAATTTTCTTCTCTGTGATATAGCATTCCATGATATGAATGGAATATTATATATAAGATACTGTTTATGAACGTTTGTGGTTTTTTTTTCCAGTTTTTGACCATCATTTTAACAACGCTGCTAGAAACATTCTTGAATACTAATGTACATGTACAAGAGTTTCTCTAGGATATATACGTAGCAATAGAATTGCTAGGTCACAGATTATGCAGATGGTCAACGTTAGTAGGTAATAACTGTTTCCAAATTAGTTTTACCAACTAATATGTTCACCCACAATGTCTGTAAGTTCCCATTGTTCCGCATGGTTACTGACATTTGATATTGATTAATTTTTAACTCTTGCCAATCTGGTAGGTGTGAAATGGTGTTCCATAGTGGTTTAAATTTGCATTTCCCTGATTAGTGAGACTGAATATATTGTCCTATGTTTGTGAGTCATCCATGCCTCCTCTTTGGTGAAATTGCTGTTCATTTGCCTATTTTTAATTGGGTTGTTTGTCTTTTCACATACATTATAAATATTCTTTATATAATCTGGATATTAACTCTTTATTGTTTATATGTGTTTTCCTGTTTATGACTTATCTGTCTTTAGATAAACAGAAGTTCTAACTTTTAATGTAACTGAATCTATCATTCTTTTTTGTTATGACTTGTCTCTGTCTTATTTTAAAAACCTCCCACTCCAGTAAAGTTATTCTTCTGTGTAAATTTCTAAGAGTAGTTTACTTTTCCTTTTCTCATACAGGTAATTAACTAACCTGGTTAAAGACTGATGTAAGAGTCTAATATCCCGTTTTCTTTAAGATCTACTAATTGTCCTAGTATCACATATTGAAAAATCTATCCTTCCACCTGAAACTAAAATGGCTGCTCTGAAATAAAATCAAGTTCTGTATATGTCTGGGTCTGTTTCTGGGTTCCCATTGGTTGGTTTGTCTATATCTTTGTCAATACCACTCTTGTCTGGATCACTATAAGTTAATGATAATTTTTGATACTTTGCAAGGCAAGTCCTATCTTTGTCTTCTTCAGGAATGTATTAGTTTTCACTGGGCATGGTGGTTCACACCTGTAATCCCAGCACTTTGGGAGGCCGAGGTGGGTGGATTGCCTGGGGTCAGGAATTCAAGACCAGCCTGACAAACATGGTGAAACCCCGTCTCTACTAAAAATACAAAAATTAGCAGGGCATGGTGGCGCATGCCTGTAATCCCAGCTACTTGGAAGGCTGAGGCTGGAGAATCACTTGAACCTGGGAGGCGGAGGTTGCAATGAGCCGAGATGGCGCCACTGCACTGCACTCCAGCCTGGGCAACAAGAGCAAAACTCTGCCTCAAAAAAAAAAAAAAAAAAAGGAATGTATTAGTCTTCAATAAAACGTTTTAAAGGAAAACTTGTCAAGTTCCAGAAAAAAATTGAGATTTTTATTGTAATTGCATGGGAACTTTTAAATCAATTTGAGAGAATGAACATCTTTATGATATTAACTCTTCCAATTTGTGAACATATCTTTCAATTTATTTAGATCTTGTTTCTATAGTTTTATTTTGCTCCATAAAAGTGTTGAATAACTTTTTAAAGATCTATTCTCATATATCTTATTTTTATGCTACTGTAAATAGCGTTCTGTTTTATTGCATTTTCTGTTTTTTGCTATAGACATAAAATTGATTATTGCACCTTGATTTTTTTCTTTTCTTTTCTTTTTTTTTTTTGAGACAGAGTCTTGCTCTTTTACTCAGGCTGAAGTGCAGTGGCTCTATCTTGGCTCACTGCAAACTCCGCCTCCTGGGTTCAAGGGATTCTTCTGCCTCAGCCTCCCGAGTAGCTGGGACTATAGGCATGCGCCACCATGCCCTGCTAATTTTTGTATTATTAGTAGAGATGGGGTTTCACCATATTGGCCAGGCTGGTCTTGAACTCCTGACCTTGGGATCTGCCTGCCTTGGCCTCCCAAAGTGCTGAGATTACAGGCGTGAGCAACCGCACCTGGCCTGCACCTTGATTTTGTATTCTGTTGACTGACTATATTCTCTTAATCTTTGGGGTTTTCTATGTAGATAAGCATATCATCAGCAAACAATAATAGCTTTGCTTCTTCCATTTCAATCCTTACACCATATTTTATATATGTATATTATATATGTATATATGTTATGTATTTTTTATTTGTTGCTTGCTTGCTTGTTTGTTTGTTCACCTTACAGCCCTGGCTGAGCCCTCTAGCACAAAACTGAATAAAAATCATGATGTGAGGCACTCAGGTCTTGGTCTTGATCTTAAGAGGAATGCTTTCAACATTTTACCATTAGTATTGCCATTGCTATAGGGGGTTTTTGCCCATGCCCTTTATCAGATTAAGAACGTTCTCTTTTATTCCTAGTTTGTTAAAAAGGGGTTTTGCTTTTTGGTTTTTTGATGTTGAATTTTATTTTATTTATTTTTATTTTTTGAGACAGGGTCTCGCTCTGTCACCCAGGCTGGAGTACAATGGCATGATCATAGCTCACAGCAATCTCCACCTCCTGAGCTCAACTATCCTCCCACCTCACCCTCCCAAGTAGCTGGGACTACAGGCATGCGCCACCACACCTGGCTAATTTTTGTAGAGACGAGTTTCACTATGTTGCCCAGGCTGCTCTCACACTCCTGGCCTCAAGTGATCCACCCACCTCAGCCTCCTCACGTGCTGGGATTATAGGCATGAGCTACCGTGCCCTGCCAGATGTTAAATTTTTGTCAAATTATTTTTCTCTTTTAATTTATTAATGTGGTGAATTATATTAAATAACTGTGAAACATTGTAACAATCTTGTATAACAGAAATAAACACAACTTGGCCATGATTTCTTCTTCTTATTGTTATCATTATTTTTATTTAAACGTGGTTGCTTTATATTGCACTTTTAAAACTCACAAAAAGCTTTACAATATCTGCATTCCTCTACTTAATCATCAAAGCTTTATGGTAAGACAATGAAAATTTTATTTCATCAATTGGGCATACTAAAAAACAATGAAAAATTAACAAACAAATCTCCTTAATCAAGAACATTCCGTAAAATACACACTCTGGCATGCGTCTGAATTCATCCCTCCTAAAATTAGACTTTAAAAGGCTTTAAAAAAAATCTCAAACAGATTTCAATACTGACTAGCCTACCAGAACAAAGCTGATAGCAAGCTATAAACAGCTTTCAATGTTGAATGTAATTTGGGGGAAGTGGAGAAGAAGAAATTATCTGCTGAACCTACATTTAAGTGCATCTGTTAGTAAGACTTCTCTAATTTAATGAATTTCAACAAAGTGAACAAGTTCTTTGCCTTTGGTAGTTTCTCGGATTTTATTTTTAAACTTGTGACATCTTGACTAAAGGAATGGAATCCTGGGACTAGAATATTTAAGGAAGAGGACAACATTGAGGCGGGAAAGAGGAAAAATAAGATTAGTACTTTCTTAGATAGCTAAAATGGGTAACAAATAATCCCAGCTACTCAGGAAGCTGAGGCAGAGAATTGCTTGAACCCAAGAGGCAGAGTTTGCAGTGAGCCGAAATCACGCCATTGCACTCCAGCCTGGGCAACATAGCGAGATTCCATCTTAAAAAAAAAAAAAAAAAAAAAAAGAATACCAGAGTTGATATGTAGGGTTTAGTTTGACTTATGTTTTTAAAAAATTAGATAAGTATAACATCTAAATGGCAAATAGAACAATTAAAGATGGTCTCATTTAGGAAATGTTAAAAACTAATTATCCTCAATTATGTTTTAAATTTGTGGAATGACATAGCAGATATTTTGAGCATCATTATAGGATCCAATTAAAATTATGCATACTGCTATTTTCACTTTTTTTTTTCGAGATGAGATCTTGCTTCTGCTGCCTAGGCTGAAGTGCAGTGGCACGATCATAGCTCATTGCAACATCAAATTCCTGGGCTGAAGCGATCCTCCCATCTCAGCCTTCAGAGTAGCTAGGACTACAGGCACATGCCACCATGCCCAGCTAATTTTTTTTTTTTTTTGGTAGAGGCTGAATCTCACTATGTTGCCCAGGCTGGTCTCCAACTCCTGGCCCCAAGCAATCCTCATGCCTTGGCTTCCCACAGTGCTGGGATTACAGGTGTGAGCCACTCTGCCTGGCCTATTTACACTTTTTTTTTTTCTTTTTAACCCAACTACTCAACGTGGCATATTTTCACTTTTAATATAATTTATATATACCTGGGGAAGCTCTTTTTGATATTATCAGTAGAGGCCACTAAAAATAATGCCAGAATTCCAGTGAGAAGAGAGTAGAAATGGAAAGAAAATGGGAGGATAAAGAAATTGGGTAGTAATAAGAAACAGGATTTTTAAGGTTTTCTCACTAGTTAACTAATGCCACAAAATTGCGTATTTTGGCTCAATGTCAGTGGGCTGCTGGAAGGGACCAGGAAATGAGTGCAATATCCTAACCATCCCAGGTAGATTCTTAACTAACCCATGATTTGGATGGCTCACTTGTGAAGGGAGTGCTTTGGCCTCCTCGCTTCCTTTCTTCCTTTTCCTTTTTTTATTTTTTTTTTTTGAGACTGAGTCTAGCTCTTGTTTCCGAGCAATTTTTGAGAAATCTCAACTTTAAAATATCCCTCAAGTTGCCCCCTTTCATTAGTCTTGTAAATAATATTGTTTAAGACTCACACATTGGTGAGAGTCAGGAATTATTAGGATTATTTTAATAGCAGACATTGAGTTCATTTACTTGGAAAGAAAAATTTTATTCCGAGGTGACTTTCAGAGATTTAAGTGCTCTATTTTACCATTGAATGAGAATTTTTCTCAAAGCAAATATTCTCTAAGATGCTAGAGTATTCAGCTTATTGGGATAGTACCCTTTAACTTATTAAAAGTTACAAAGTCTAAGAAAAAGCATGCAAGTCTTGAGAATCACTGCTGTGAATTCTAACAGGGAGGGCCTGAAGCCTGGAAGCCTGGCTGACAGTCCTGCAGACCAGAGTGGGGACTTGTGGTGCCTCTTCCAGTCTGCCCATGGCCGCCCATAGACCATTTGGCATGTACTTCCTCCCCTCTGAGGTCCATAAAAGCCCTGGGATCAGCCAGAGAAGGGCAGAGGATGGAGAGGACAGAGAGATGACTGGCGACTGGATGATCAGCTGCAGAGAGGAGCTGAAAGCTCCTGCTGAAAGCTGGGAAGCCAACCGGGACCTGCCTTCAGAGAGCAGCCACCCTCTCCAGGGCCTCCTGTCTGCTGAGAGCTGAACGCTGGATGAGACAACCTGCCTACAGAGAGGAGCTGCCCGCTGAGGGTCTCCTCTGAACTGTCCTAACACTCAACAAAGCTTCTCTTCGTCTTGCTCGCCCTTCATTGTCTGAGTACCTTATTCTTCCTGGATGCAGGACAAGAACTCGGGCAAAGGCACCACTGCCCACAGAAGTTTCTGGCCAGAAAAGTGACACCCCAAAGATCCCGTAACACTATGAGATGCAAAGACTACAAATGTTTAAGTGGAATGATCTCTAACCTGTAAATTACACTCCTGTAACAAGCAAATGATTACATACTGTGGAAGACTACAGAACATAAGTACAGAAAGCTGCTCTCCAAGGCTGCATTCTCAAAGCTTGAAAAGTTAATTGGCCCATCATTTTGGTACAGTAGGTAGCTAGTCAAGCATGAGCAGGGCAGGAGAGGGCTCCCTATACCTCACCACAAATGTCAGGCAACCATCAGGTGATGGTCAGGTGGTTGTTAACTGTCTGTTTAAAATAATAATTGGTTGCAGCTGGTGCCAGGGAAAGGCCGTCTCCCAGTAGATAGAAACACCTGAAACAGGTGGTCAGCTGCTTAATCTCAGGAGTTGGGCAACTGGGCTCAAGCATGCTCACTAAGAGGCAAAATGGTGAGTTTAACTGATACATGACTTTCCAGGGACATTCGGCTGGTAAGGGAAGAATGCCTCAAGTGAGCATGCATACAACTCCAGTGAACACACTGTGCACACTCCCCTCCCAAGGGCTGGCAGGTCACTGTGCACACGGACAGCCCAAGGGAAGAATCAGGGGAGAAGGGACGCAAGGCATGCCAACATGTACAACCCCAAGTCAAAGGTGAAATGGCACACTTGATCACTCAAGTTGCCCAGGTGGCTCTTTCCCAAGTGTACTTTACTTCCTTTCATTCCTGCCCTAAAGCTTTTTAATAAACCTTCACTCCTGCTCTAAAACTTGCCTCAGTCTCTCCCTCTGCCTCGTGCCCCTCGGTCAAATTCTTTCCTCTGAGGACGCAAGAATTGAGGTTGCTACAGACCTGTACAGATTCGCCGTCACTAATAATTTTAGAAAGAAAAAAAGATGAACATGGATTAGGAGGGTCTACATGTGGGAAAAAAATTGCAACTAAGATATTTTAGAGAGCCCACCTCTAGTAACAAAAGAAAAAATAGGCCCGGCACGGTGGCTCACACCTGTAATCCCAGCACTTTGGGAGGCCGAGGCAGGTGGATCCTGAGGCCTCCCCAGAAGCAGATGCTGCCATGCTCCCTGTACAGCCTGCAGAACTGTGAGCCAATTAAACATCTTTTCCTTGTAAATTACCCAGTCTCAGGTATTTCTTCATAGCAGTGAGAGAACAGCTAATACGGTAGCCATCTCTGGGGGGACATCGAGGAGGCTCTCATTCTCCTAGAAGTCTTTCCAATTCATATTATCCTCAGACCATAGTTCATCTCTTCTGTAAGCCACAACTCTGGGCCACCAGGAAACCCAGTACATGTAGTTGTCTGCTTGCCACCGCTCAATTTTTTATTTTTATGCATTATGTATAACTATGTATGTTTCGTAACTTCCCAACATAGGCTTTCCTAATTATCTTTTTGTTCCTTTTATAAACAAGCTTTATTGAGGTATGATTTACATACTGTATAATTTACCCAAAGTGCACACTTCAATCGTTTTTAGTAGGTTTACTGAGTTGTGCAATCATCATGACAGTCCCATTTTAGAACACTTCCACATCCCCAAGAGCCCCTCATGCCCACTTTTAGCCAATCCCCATTCCCATCTCCAACACCAGGCAATCACTAATATGCTTTCCATCTCCATAGATTTGCCTCTTCTGGACATTTTATAAAAATGCAGTCATACAATCTGGGTTCTTTTTTTTCTCATTTTACTCTGCATATGTTCTAGGCTCATCCATGTTTGCAGCATGGATCAGTAGTTACTCCCTCTTACCATTGAATGGTAGGTACTACATTGTATGGATGTACCCCATTTTTTTTTCTACTCACTGATTGATGGACATTTGTACTCACATTTTGGCTTTTATGAATAATGCTGCTATGAACCTTCATGCAAAAGCTTTTCTGTAGACATGTTTCATTTATCTTGAGTAGCTACCTATGAGTCCCATTGCTAGGTTGCTGGATACATTTATGTTTACCTTTTTAAGAAACTGCCAAGCTGTTTTCCAAAGTTTCCGCACCATTTTACCTTCCTGCCACCAATGTATGAGGATTCTGATGTCTCCACAGTGTTGCCCACAGGTATTATTGTCTGTGTTCTTCATTACAGCTGTCCTAATGGCCATGAAGTGGTATCTCATTTTGGTTTTAATTTGCATATTACTAATGACTAATAATGTTGAGCATCTTTTCATGTGCTTATTAATCATTTATATATCTTCTTCAGTGAAGTGTTTACTCAAATCTCTTCCCTATTTTAAAAATTAGGGGCTGGGCGTGGTGGCTCATGCCTTGTAATCCCAACATTTTGGGAGGCCGAGGTGGGTGGATCACGAGGTCAGGAGATCGAGACCATCCTGGCTAACATGGTGAAACCCCATTTTTAATAAAAATACAAAAAATTAGCTGGGCATGGAGGCACGCAGCTGTAGTCCCAGCTACTCAGGAGGCTGAGGCAGGAGAATCGCTTGAACCCGGGAGGCAGAGGTTGCAGTGAGTCGGGATCGCGCCACTGCACTCCAGCCTGGGTGATAGAGCGAGACTCCATCTCAAAAAAAAAAAAATTGGGTTGTCTTCTTCTTACTGCGTTGTAAGAGTTCCATATATTCTGGATATGAAAGCCTTTTTGTTGTTGTTTGTTTTGTGTTTTTGTTTTTTGGAGACAGAGTCTCACTCTGTCACGCAGGCTGGAATGCCAGTCATATGATCATAGTTCACTGAGGCCTCAAATTAGTTCCTGGGCTCAAGCAATCCTCCTGCCTCAGCCTTCCAAGTAACTGGGACTACAGGTGCATGCCACCATGCTTGGCTAAAATCTTTATCAGTGGCCAGGCGCAGTGGTTCACATCTGTAATCCCACACTTTGGCAGGCCGAGACCAGCGGATCACCTGAGGTTAGAAGTTTGAGACCAGCCTGGCCAACATGGTGAAACCCCGTCTGTACTGAAAATGCAAAAATTAGCCAGGTGTGGTGGCAGGCGCATCTAATCCCAGCTACTCAGGACGCTGGGGCAGGAGAATCACTTGAACCTGGGAGGCAGAAGCTGCAGTGAGCGAAGACCATGCCACTGCACTTCAGCCTGGGCAACAGAGCAAGATTCCGTCTCAAAAAACTAAACTAAAATAAAATAAAAAACCTTTATCAGAATTATGATTTGCAAATATTTACTCCCAGCCTGTCGCTTATCTTTCTCATTTACTTAATAGTGACTTTGAAAGTATAAAAGTGTGTAATTTTTATTAACTCCAATTTATTGATTTTTTTCATTTATGAGTTATGCTTTTAATGTTGTATCTGAGAACTCTGCTTAACTGGAGATCACGAAGAGTTTCTCCTATGCTTTCTTCTAAAAGCTTTATAGTTTTATCACTTAAGTTTAGGTCTACAATCCATTTTGAATTAATTTTTGTGTGTTGTATAAGTTAAGGATCCAAATTCACCTTTGTGGTTGGGTGTGATGGCTCACACCTATAATCCTAGCACTTTGGGAGTTGAGGCAGGAAGATGGTTTGAAGTCAGGAGTTTGAGACCAGCCTGGCCAACATAGTAAGACCCCCATCTCTACAAAAAAATTTTCAAAATTTAGCCTGGTGTGGTTGTGCATGCTGGCAGTCCTAACTACTCAGGAGGCTGAAGCAGGAGAGTTCAAGAGTTCAAGGTCATAGTGAGCTATGATCATGCTTGCATTCCAGCGTGGGTGACAGAGTGAAACCTCATCTCAAGCAATCAATCAATCAGCTCATCTTTTTTATGAGGATAACCAATTGTTCCAGCACCATTATTGGAAAACCTTGTGTTATGGTTTGGATAGTTGTCCCCTCCAAATCTCATGTTTGAAATGTGATCCTGAGTGTTAGAGGTGGGCCTAGTGGGAGCAGTCTGGATCATGGGGATGGGCCGCTCATGAATGGCTTGGTGCCATCCTCGCAGTAGAGTGAGTTTTTGCTCTGTTAGTTCACTCAAGAGCTGGTTGGTTTTTGAAAGAGTCTGGTGCCTCCCTTCTTTCTCATTCTTTTGTGCTCTTTCTTGCCATGTGACACACCTGCTCCCCCTCACCTTCTGCCTGGAGTAACAGCTGCCTGAGGCTTCATCAGAAGCTGGGTGGATGCTGGAGCCATGCTTTTATAGCCTGCAGATCCATGAGCCAATTAAACCTTTTTTCTTTATAAATTGCCTAGTCTAAGGTATTCCTTTATAGCAGCACAAAATGGACTAATACACCTTGTTGATTTCTGATAACCCTATTGTGGTCAGAAAATGAGAATATATGATAGTAATCCTTTGAATAGACGTGCTTTATGATACTCAGTTTTCATAAATGCTCCACATGTGCTTGGAAAGACTGTGTATTTTGCAGATGAGTCCAGTGTTATATGCATATCCATTAGATTAAACTTGAGAATCCATTCGTTCAAATCTCCTGTATCTGTGCTCATTTTTTTTTTTTTTTGGTCTACTTGATCTATCAATTGATTGAAACATGTTAAAATCTACCATTCTGAGGCCGGGCACAGTGGCTCACGCCTGTAATCCCAGCACTTTGGGAGGCCGAGGTGGGCGGATCACCTGAGGTTAGAAGTTTGAGACCATCCTGGCTAACACGGTGAAACCCCGTCTCTACTAAAAATACAAAAACAAAATTAGCCGAGCATGGTGGCAGGCACCTGTAATCCCAGCTACTCGGGAGGCTGAGGCGGGAGAATGGCGTGAACTCGGGAGGTGGTGCTTGCAGCGAGCCAAGATCGCGCCACTGCACTCCAACCTGGGCGACAGAGCGAGACTCCGTCTCCAAAAAAAAAAAAGTGTTTGATTAGGTCACCTTCTCCATGATTCCTTCATTAGTAAGTTGTTCCCAGGAGTAATTTGTGAACACTGTGGGGACTTGGCCTCTGCCTTCTCAGAGCTTAGCGTTGAGCAGCAGATAGAAAATGTACCATCAACCTACTTACAAATCTGCAAATGGGCCTGCCTTCCAGAATTTCACTTGTAAATCCATGTTTAGTTATTAGAATAATTTATTCTTTTGGGGGATTAAAAAGTTATACACTCTTCTGTATATTGGATTCTTGGCCCCATTGATGGAAAAAACATTTCTTCCTTTATACATAATTATTTACAGCTACTTATGATGGGGTTGTGGCTCAGAAAATCCATCATGAAGTCAAAGAATGGTTAAGTCAAGCCAACCTATGTTGGGAACCACCTGTATAGTGATATATATTAATATTTATATTGAAAAATCATAGGAGAAAACATGTAGCTCAAAAAAAAATACTACTTTCTTTGTGCCTGACACAGAGTGGATACTACATAAATATATGTATACAAATATTATAGATAAAACTAACTTTCTTTTGGTATCTGTTACCTTCTTTAATTTTCAAAGTTGATGCATAAGGTGGATTATAGGAAGAAAAGGTGGTTGAGGGCCACAGGCAGAGAAGCTGGTTCCCTCCCTCAAGTCCAAGAGGAGAGCTCAGGCCAGAGATTGGAGATGAGGCCAAAGAGGTCTGCTGGACCCTGAACCAGAATGAGAACATCTGAATGACTTCTGAGCAGGGCAGGGGCCCAGGCATCGTGGCTGCCAGTCACATGGGGTGTGGGAAGCCTGGCCTGGGCCAAAGGTCCAGGGCCACAGAGTATTGTCCTATGAAGGCAAGAAGGCCCCTAGCCCTAGGCCCCTCCCTGTTCCCACAGTGGGGTTGTGTACATGCTCACTCGGATTCCACAGGGCAGGGGTCACATAGCTGAGGCCACAAAGCCAGTATGGGGAGAGCCTGGTGCTCCCCCAGCCACCTGACTATTTCCATTCCCTGTGGCTGGTCCACAGGGAACCATGGCATCCTGGTTGCAGGTACCCACCCAGAGAGGAGTGGAGGGGAAAGGAAAAAGGGGTGCCTTTTCCTTGAGGGAAGGGGCCTGGTCATTTGCTTCTGATAGGCCCTGATCAGCCCTGTAATAAATTTTGAATGAGTTACTAAATTCTGATTTTCAAGAACTAAATTTTAGGTAGAAAACAATATTAAAAATTAAAAGTCAAACCAAAATTTAAAAAACTACTTAAGTGACCAGGCACGGTGGCTCATGCCTGTAATCCTGGCACTTTGGGAGGCCAAGGTGGGTGGATCACGAGGTCAGGAGTTTGAGACCAGCCTGACCAATATGGTGAAACCCCGTCTCTACTAAAAATACAAAAATTAGCTGGGTGTGGTGGCGTGCTACTGTAATCTCAGCTACTTGGGAGGCTCAGGTAGGAGAATTGCTTGAACCTGAGAGACAGAGGTTGCAGTGAGCCAAGATCATGCCACTGCACTCCAGCCTGGGCAACAGAGTGAGACTCCGTCTCAAAAAACAAAACAAAAACTACTTAAGCATAAGTCAAAAAACAAGAGACAAACTGGGAAAAATTATTTGCAGCTCATATCACCAAGGATTAATTCCCTTAATATATAAAAAGCTTCTAGAAATAAAGAAATACAAGATTATTAATTGATGTGGTTTTGCTGTGTCCCCACGCAAATCTCATCTTGAATTGTATTATAGTTCCCATAATCCCCATGTATTGTGGGAGGTAATTTAATCATGGGGGTGGTCAACGTCATGCTATTCTCATGACAGTGAGTGAGTTCTCATGAGATCTGATGGTTTTATAAGGGGCTTTTCCCCCTTTTGCTCGGCACTTCTCCTTGTTACCACCTTGTGAAGAAGGACATGTTTGCTTCCTCTTCTGCCACGATTGTAAGTTTCCTGAGGCTTCCCCAGCCATGCTGAACTATGAGTCAATTAAACCTCTTTCCTTTATAAATTACCCAGTCTCAGGTATGTCTTTATTAGCAGCATGAGAATGAACTAATACCTCAATCTCACAGAAAAAAGAGCAGAAGACACAAAAAGGTAGTTTACGGTCAAAGAAATACAGATGGCTTTAAACATATGCAAAGGTGGGCAACTTCATTCAATAAATATAGATTAAAACTACACTAGGTGGCTGGGCAAGGTGTCTCACACCTGTAATCCCAGCACTTTGGGATGCCAAAGTGCTAGGATTGCTTTAACCCAGCAGTTCAAGACCAGCCTGGGTAACATAGAGAGACTTCATCTCCACAAAAAAATAAAAAATTAACTGGGCACGGTGATTTGTGCTCGTAGTCCCAGCTACTCGGGAGACTAAGGTGAAAGGATCTCTTGAGCCTGGAAAGTCGAGTCTGCAGTGAGCAGTGATCATACCACTGCACTCCAGCCTTGGTGACAAAGCGAGACCCTGTCTCAAAAACAAAACAAAACAAAGTACACTAGGCTACAACTTTTCACCTCACAGACTGGCAAAATCCCAACACATTCTGTTGGTAAGTTTGTGGTGAAGCAAAATGCTCTCATTCATTGTAGATGGGAATCCTTAAGGAGCAGCAATTTGACAACATCTATGACATTTCCAAGTTTATTTACCCTTTGATCCTGCATCTCACATCTAGGAATTCATCCTCTGATATGCACAAGCACGAAATGACACATGTGCAAGGTTAGCAACTGCCATAATAGCAAATAGTAACAGCAAAAGATGGAAATAACCTACGATCATTCAGTGGGAATTGGTTAGTCTGTGATACATCCACACGATGACTTCATAGGGATGTATAGAAAATAATAAACTTTGTACCTAAATGGAAAGATCTCTAGCATACATTAAGTAATAAAACTATGGTGCAGATTAGTAATTGTGTAAGAAAAGAGAAAACAAGAATAAACACCTGTGTTACCAGTATTTATGAAAGAGACATTGGAAAGACACATTAGAAACTAAGAGGAATGTGTGTTTATTAACAGAGAGCAGCGGTTCTCAAACTTCAGCGTGGATTAGCATCACAGGGAGGGTTTGTTAAAATGCAAACCACTGGCTCCCGCTCCTACAGCTTCTGATTCAGTGGGTGCGGAGTGGAGCCACAAAACCTGCATTTCTTTTCTTTTTCTCCTTTTGCTTTTTTTTCTTTTTTCTTTCTTTCTTTATTTTATTTTATTTTATTTTTTGAGACAGGATCTTGCTGTGTCATCTTGCTGTGTCACCTAGGCTGGAGTGCAGTGGCGCAATCCTAGCCCAATGCAGGCTCATACTCCTGGGCTCAAGAAATCCTTCCGCTTTGGCCTCCCAAAGCTCTGGGATTGCGGGCGTGAACCACCGTGCCCTGCCTAAAAATGTGCATTTCTAACAAGTTCCCAGGGGTGCTGACGCTGCCAGTCAGGGAACCAAGTTTGGGCCAGAAAATGGAATGGAGTTAGAGGCTGGAGCAGGTCTTCTCAGGGTACATCTTTTCTATTTTGATTTTTTAAAAACTTGCAAATCTATTACCTACTCAAAAATAAGCTTAATTCAAAAAACGTTTAAAATGTTCAATAAAAGAAGCTGCTCCTCAGTCACTCCCTACTTTCTTAGCTTGTTTTGTTTTTCTTTACAACAATTAATATTGTACCTAAAATTATGCTATTTTTTTTTTTACTTTCTCTCCCAACTAGAATAGGGTAAGGACATTGTCTTCTATTTCCCTCTATTTCCAACACTAATATTGTGCCTGCCACGTAGTAGGTACTCAAGAAATAGCTGTTTGGCCAGGTGTGGTGGCTCACGCCTGTAATCTTTGGGAGGCTGAGGTGGGTGAATCACTTGAGGTCATGAATTCGAGACCAGCCTGGCCAACACGTATTTTTCTCTACTAAAAATACAAAAATTAGCTTGGCATGGTGGTGTATGCCTGTAGTCCCAGCTACTCAGGAGACTGAGGCAGAGGAATCTCTTGAACCCGGGAGGCAGAGGTTGCAGTGAGCCGAGAACGCGCCACTGCACTCCAGTTTCAGTGACAGAGCAAGACTCCATCTCCGAAGAAAGAAAGAAAGAGAGAAAGAGAGAAAGAAAGAGAGAGAGAGAAGGAAAGAAAGAAAGAAAAGAAAGAGAGAAAGAAAAAGAAAGAAAGGAGGGAGGGAGGGAGGGAAGGAAGGAAGGAAGGAAGGGCTGTTGAATGAATAAAGGGAATGAATGAATTCTCTTAGTCTTCAGTAGATCAGTGATCTTGGTAAGTCACTGGAGAGCTTTTAAAACATACCCATATCCCCATCAAATCCCCAGTTCTGAGTGAATTGTTTGGGGGTGGGGCCCCGCATTGAGTTGAGGGTGATGGGAGCCCCTGGTCTAAACCACAGCTATGTAGAGACTTATGGTTTGGATTGTGCATATAAAGTGAGTATATTAGTATATAGACCCTGCTGCATTTTTGTACATTGCTTTGGGGGCTGGTTCTGAGGCTCTTTTTGATCTGGAGACCCTAACATCCTTTCCCTCTCTTTTCTCTTTCAGTTGCCTACAGATCTGGAAGCCTTGCTGAAAAGACACCTTAATGGCCTAGCAGCTCTTTTAGGCAAGGAGCAATTCAGATGTTGAATGATGGAACACAAAAACCCACAGCAGACATGGTGGCTGATGCTTGTAATCCCAGCACTTTGCAAGGTTGAGGTAGGGGGATTGCTTGAGCTCAGAAGTTTAAGACCAGCCTAGGTAACACAGTGAGACCCCATCCCTACAAAAAATCAAAAAATTAGCTGGGCATGGTGGTGCACATCTGTAGTCCCAGCTTCCTGGAAGGCTGAGGCAGGAGGATCTCTTGAGCCCAGGAGGTCAAGCCTGTGGTGAGTTGTAATTGTGCCACTGCACTCCAACCTGGGTGACAGAGCAAGACCTTGTCTCAAAAAAATAAAATAAATTGGTGTTGCGGTTAATGGTCTTCATGTAGGTTTTTCCCGCTGTGGAGCAGGGCAGGACAATGAGTCTGGATGCTGGCTCCCCTGCATTTTAGTTCTGCAGTGAAGTTGTGGGGCCTGAGGGCTCAGGACACTGTGCTGCAATCATGCTGCATAGTCAGAGTGAAAAAAGACTGGGTTAGGGAGTCACAGAGTCACAGCATCCAGCCCCATTGGCCATTCAGCAATTCTGTGACCTTCCATCTCTGGTCAGTTTCCTCATCTGTAAAATGGGGATGCTAATGCCTGTCTCTTAGGGCCACTGGGAGAATGAAATGTTAGTTATTTTTCGGCTTTTCAGTTGAGTTATTGCATCAGCTACGTTCGTAGTTTACCCCCTTGGTTTATTAAGTAATAGTTGTAAAAGTTTATAACAGGTCACGAATTGGCGGCACCTTTGTATTGATTGGCACTCAAAGTGACTTACAAAAACTTGGCTTAATTGCCAACATTTAAAAACTAGGGATCTTACATAAAAATCTGGATTTGTGGCTTCATTGGAAACATCTGCATGACCACAACTGCTGGAGCTGAGAGTCAGCTGCTTGTTCCTGATCCCAAACCCCATGACTCCTGGACACCTTCTGCCTCCTACCCCTTATCTCCCTGGATTCCCTGAGTGGCTTGCTGCTGGAGGCTGTGAGTACCTAGTTTATAACCCCAGTTGATAAAGTGCTTTCACCTGCTTCATCTCATTAGACTTTTACCTATGAGGGAGGTGTTAGTATTGTTCCCTTTACAGGAGAAGAAACTAAAGCTGAGATGTTACAGGACCTACTCTGGGTTAGTAATAACAGCAACCGCAATAAATAGTAATTTGTACTGGCTGTTTACCATGTGCCAGGCATTATTCTAAGCACTTTACATGTTTAATTTAATTCTCTCAATCTTATCAGATATTGTCATTATTCCTATTTTATGAATAAGGAAATTGAGGTAGTGACAGGTCAAGTAGATTTCCCAAAGTCACACAGCCAGAAAGCTCAAAATAAACTGAAGACTTCTGGGTCCTAATCCACACTTGTTCCAGAGTCCTGCAGTGCAGGCTTTCCTTCCTTTCTCTCTTTCTCTTCTTTAAAATGGGTGAGTCTATGGGGCCCAGCTTCTGGTAAGAGTTTGTAAGTGTTGTTTGGTGGGAGGGGTGGGCTCGTGTTTTGTAGGATTTGTTCCCTGCTGCCTCCTCAGCACCTGCAACAATGCCTGGCATGTGGCAAGAGCACAAGAAAGAGTGAAAGCCAATGGCAACAGGGCAACATCGGCAGCTTTCAGGGCTCCAGTGTCTCTAATGATTGGCACACGGGCGAAGACCTACTACGTGGCATGCAGTGGGTGGGCTCCCAGCTCTTGAGCAGCTCAAGTCCAGGTAAGAATCACTGACAAATGAAATTCAAATATGGGGTGTGTGTGGACATGAGTCGCTTGCCAAAAAGTTACCTTTCCCCTTAAAAATAATCAATGACCCACTTGTGATATTTGCATTAAAGGCTAAACATTGAATAAGGGAAGTCAAGGCTGCAGTGAGCTGTGATTGTACCACTGCACTCTGGCCTGGGTGACAGAGCAAGACCCTGTCTCAAAAAGGACAAAAAAAGAAAGAAAGAAAAAGTCCGCCAAACAAAAACCACTCGGATTTATGATTCACCTCCTTTTTGCTTTAGGAAAACAAATTATTGGCCATAATTCTCAAAATGGAGTTGGAAACTGAGCTGCTAGCACTGGATGACCTCTATCAAGAAACTAGCTACATCTCAGGAACAAGATAGTTTCTGTTCAGTTCAGCCAACCCGAGCTCCTGCCTGGGCTGGGCGTTGGGCTGGGCACCGAGGCTGCACAGCTGCTGAGCTCTGGCCCTGCCTCCAGGAGCTCAGTCTGTGGGATATGTACTGCACAGAGACAGCTCGGGACTCTAGACATAGCTCGGAGGGTAAGGGAAGTCTTCCCGGGGGAGGTGTCAGCTGGGCTGAGTTTCGATGAACTAATGTTGTCCAGGTGAATAAGGGAGAGAATGGATAGAAAAAGCGCAAGGCAGTAGTGAGACTCATGAGAGATCTGGAAACTTCACAGCTTCTGTGGTTCTCCATGGACTTGCTGTTGTCTGAGTGTCCACATGAGTGAAGGTGGAAGAATGGGTGTGGGCTCTCTGTCCAGGCAGGTGGGGTCCCATCAGGGATAATCAGTATCTGCCCAGTAATGAAGATTGTTTTGACACATGCAGGTGGTGCTGCACTCTTCCTTCCAACCACTGCCCATTAGGGGACAGGCCGAGTCAGTTTGTGCCTATCTTGCCCTATCTCCTTCAATGAAGAAAGTGAATGCTGCAAGTAATACATGTTCATTGTCAAAAACTAAGAAAAATGTAAATACCCCATAGGCCAGGTGCGGTGGCTCACACCTGTAATCCCAGCACTGTGGAAGGCAAAGGCAGGTGGACTGCCTGAGGTCAGGAATTTGAGACCAGGCTGGCCAACACAGCAAAACCCCATTTCTACTAAAAATACAAAAAATTAGCTGGGCGTGGTGGTGCATGCCTGTAATCCCAGCTACTCAGGAGGCTGAGGCAGGAGAATCACTTGAACCCGGGAGGTGGAGGTTGTGGTGAGCTGAGATTGCACCATTGCACTCCAGCCTGGGCAACAAGAACAAAACTCCATCTCAGAAAAAAAAAAAGAAAATTCCCCGTAATCCAACCCTGAGAAATAACTTTTTAGTTTATATTCCCAAATATTTTTCTATGTCTAAATTTTTTGTTTTGCAGAAACATACATATTGGTTTTTTTCTTTTCTGTTGTGGTAAAATATACATTACAGAAAATTAGCAAAATCATGGAACCAACCCAAGTGTCTACCAGTGGTTGACTGGATAAAGAAAATATAGTACACATACACCGTGGAATACTATGCAGCATGAAAAGAATGAAATCATGTCCTTTGTAGCAACATGGATGGAACTGGAGGCCATTATCCTAAGTGAAGGGGTGGCCTGCCCCTCCACACCTGTGGGTATTTCTAGTCAGGTGGGATAAGAGACTTAGAAAAGAAAGAAGACACAGAGACAAAGTACAGAGAAACAACAGTGGGCCCAAGGGACCGGCGCTCAGCATACCAAGGACCTGCACCGGCACCGGTCTCTGAGTTCCCTCAGTTTTTATTGATTATTATCTTCATTATTTCAGTAAAAAGGAATGTAGTAGGAGGGCAGGGTGATAATAAGGAGAAAGTCAGCAACAAACACGTGAGCAATAGAATCTATGTCATCATTAAGTTCAAGGGAAGGTACTATGATTGGACGTGCACGTAGGCCAGATTTATGTTTCTCTCCACCCAAACATCTCAGTGGAGTAAAGAATAACAAGGCAGCATTGCTGCAAACATGTCTCGCCTCCCACCATAGGGCGGTTTTTCTCTCATGTCAGAATTGAACAAATGTACAATCGGGTTTTATACCAAGACATTCAGTTCCCAGGGGCAGGCAGGAGACAGTGGCCTTCCTCTATCTCAACTGCAAGAGGCTTTCCTCTTTTATTAATTCATCTCAGCACAGACCCTTTACGGGTGTCGGGCTGGGGGACAGTCAGGTCTTTCTCATCCCATGAGGCCATATTTCAGACTATCACATGGGGAGAAACCTTGGACAATACCCCACTTTCAAGGGCAGAGGTCCCTGCGGCTTTCCGCAGTGCACTGTTCCCCTGGTTTATTGAGACTAGAGAACGGCGATGACTTTTACCAAGCATATTGCTTGTAAACATTTTGTTAACAAGGCACATCCTGCACAGCCCTAGATCCCTTAAACCTTGATTTCATACAACACGTGTTTTTGTGAGCTCCAGGTTGGGGCAAAGTGGCTGGGGCAAAGCTACAAATTAACATCTCAGCAAAGCAATTGTTTAAAATACAGGTCTTTTTCAAAATGGAGTCTCTTATGTCTTTCCTTTCTACATAGACACAGTAACAGTCTGATCTCTCTTTCTTTTCCCTACACCTAACTGACAAGCAGAAAGTCAAATATTCCATGTTCTCAGTTATACATGGGAGATAACAATGGGTACACATGGACATACAGGTGGAGAAAACAGACAGCAGGAACTACAAAGTGGGGGTGGGCTGACAAATTCCCTATTGTGTGCAATGTTCAATATTTTGGCAAAGCTCAATATGGTGGGGATTGGGATTCTAGTGTACCCATCACTAATAAAAATCAAAATAAAAAATCAAATCACACTACACACATGCAAATATGTGACATGATGGATATTTTAATTAGGTTGATTTAATTATTCTGTAATGTATACATATATCAAAAAATTCCATTGTACCCTGTAAATATATACAATCATTGCCAATTTAAAAAATTCATTGTGGGCCAGGCGTGGTGGCTCACACCTGTAATCCCAGCAGTTTGGGGGGCCGCAGCAGTTGAATCACCTGAGGTCAGGAGTTCGAAACCAGCCTGGCCAACATGGTGAAACCCCGTCTCTACTAAAAAATACAAAAATTAGTGGGGTGTTGTGGTGCATGCCTGTAATTCCAGCTACTCAGGAGGCTAAGGCAGGAGAATCACTTGAACCCGGGAGGCGGAGGTTGCAGTGAGCCGAGATCATGCCATTCATTGCACTCCAGCCTGGGCAAGAGAGCGAGACTTCGTCTCAAAGAAAAAAAATACATTGTGAAATTAAAAAAAAATACTTTCTCATAAAATTTACAATTTACAATTTTATCCATTTTTAAGCATGCAGTTCTGTGGCACTGAGTGCATTCAAATTGTTATGCAACGATCACCATCATCCATCTCCAGAACTTTATTTTTATTTTTTTATTTTTGTATTTTCTTTTGAGACAAAGTCTCACTTTGTTGCCCAGGCTGGAGTGCAATGGCACAATCTTGGCCCACTGCAACCTCCACCTCCCTGGTTCAAGCGATTGTCCTGCCTCAGCCTCCCAAGCAGCTGGGATTACAGGTGTGCACCACCACGGCTGGTTAATTTTTGTATTTTTAGTAGAGATGGGGTTTCACCATGTTGGCCAGGCTGGTTTCGAACTCCTGACCTCAAGTGATCCACCTACCTCAGCCTCCCAAAGTGCTGGGATTACAGGTGTGAGCCACCGTGCCCGGCCCAGAACTTTAAAAATATTCTCCAATGGAAACTCTGCATCTATTAAACAATAACTCCCCATTTTCCCTCCTCCCAGCCCCTGGCAACCATCATTCTACTTTCTCTGAATGCCACCACTCTACGTACTTCATATAAGTAGAATCATAAAATATTTGTCCTTATGTGGCTGACATATTTCACTTAGCACAATGTCCTCAACGTTCGCCCATGCGGTAGCATATATCAGGATTTCCTTCCTTTTAGGCTGCAGAGAATTATGATCGCGCCACTGCACCCCAGCTTGGGTGACAGAGTGAGAACCTGTCTCTTAATTAAAAAAAAAAAAAAAAAGAGTCCAGGCATGGTGGTTCACTTCTGTTAATTCTACCACTTCGGAAGGCCAAGGTAGGAGGATCCCTTGAGTCCAAGAGTTTGAGACCAGCCTGGGCAACATGCTGAAACCCCATCTCTACAAAGCCCACAAAAATTAGCTGGGTGTGGTGGCACACTTGTGGTCTCAGCTATTTAGGAGACTGAGGTGGGAGAATAACTTGAGCCTGGGAGGCTGAGGCTGCAGTGAGCCAAGATCACACCACTGCACTCTATCCTGGGTGACAGAATAAGACCTTGTCTAAAAAAACAAAAGAATTTCCTTCCTTTTTAAGTCTGAATAATATTCCACTGTATGTATAGATCACATTTTGCTTACCCATTCACCTGTCAATGGACATTTGGATTGTGTCTATGTTCTAGCTATTGTATATACTGCTTTTTAACTTAATCTATTATGAACATCTTTTCAGATGAATAATTAAATTTTCCCAATGCCTTTTTTAGTGGCTGCTTTATAGTACATTACCTGACTGTTCCACAATGTAGTTGACTATTCCTTGAGGGTTGGAAATTTAGTTTGTTTCTGATTTTTTGCTCTAATATACACGGCTGGAATAAATCCCCTACGAACAACATCTTTGCATGCCTGGCTGATTATGACTTTCAGACAAAAGAATGTGCACAGGTTTCGGCCTCCGGCACCCATTGCTGGGCCCTTGTTACAAGCAGCCTGTGCATCTGAGGAGGCCTAAGCCTGAGCTGCCGCACACATCCCCATCCCTGAAGACCAGAGAGCACCATGATGCCAGGGGTCCCTGCGCCTCCTGGAAGTGAAGAATGTTGCTGCAGCTCCAAGCTCGTAGGGTAAGTCTGTGGGAATAAATCCAGGAGGACCTTCAGGGAGATTCCAATGAACTCCTGGTTATTCTGATTCTTTGGAAAATGAAATTTTCTGGTTAATTGAACTTCTTGACTGGCTGAATCCAGTCTAAATGCCTTCAAATAGACCCCTACCTGGCACACCATCATGCTTCCCTTTTGTTTTGTCAGTTTGTTTGTTTTAAATAAGGAGTTTCTCTCTGTCATCCATGCTATAGTGTAGTGGCATGATCCTAGCTCACTGTGGCCTCCAACTCCTGGACTCAAGTGATCATCTTTCCTCAGCCTCCCAAATAGCTGGGACTGCAGGCTTGTGCCACCACACCCAGCTGATTTAAAAAAAAATTTGTAGAGATGGGGTCTTCTTCTGTTGCCTGGGCTTGACTGGATCGCCTGGCCTCAAGTGATCCTCCCACCTCAGCCTCCCAAAGCACTCCCAGCACCACGCCTGGTCCATAATGCATCTTAAAAATGCAGATGACATGTTATAATTTTGCAGATATTGTTGTGAAATGTCTTGAGTGCCCAGAACAGGGCGAGCCACACAAAAGATGCAGAAGTCGAACAATGCTGGTGGTGGGGCTACATGCAACCTGGGAGCTGCTGTTGAACTAAGTGCCCAGCAGGAGCTTGTCTTCTTATTATTTACTGATCATAAAATTGAGTACAGACTGCTCTCATCCTCCTTCTGTGGGGTTCCTTGATTCTCTTGGTTGTTTAGACTGTGGATAAAAGGGCTTTTGGTAGTTGCTGGGGAGAAAGGTCAGCAGCAGCAGTGATGAGAAAGCAGCATGCCCACAGGTGGAAGCCTCGGAAGGGGTTCCTGAGAGGCTGCTCCGCCTGTGAGGTGCGGGAAGCACAGGGTCCTCCAGCTCAGTTAACCATGCATAGTGGCAGGCACTGCTCCTAAAACACAGAGTAGTCAATCTTCCTAGAAAATGCAAAATGCTCTTCTGACTCCACTTTTTTTTTTTAAGTATTCAAAACATCCTTTTCAAGCCCTGTTTAGCTCTTTTTATAGCTGTGTTTGGACAGACTGAACAGATGAAATTTACTTAACACTTCCAGTGTGGGTCTTTGGTTGATCACTACAGAGCCTATGTTTTGAATAAAATTTTGAATTTGCACATCAGCAAGAATTCTGCCATGAGAATTTATTTTAACATAAAAGCCAAGACTGTTCTCCTTGCCTCCATCCCTCGGCTTTTCCTCCCCTCCTCCCTCTTTCCCTTGCTCCATCCACAATGGAATTCTCACCATTTTCCCAGAACACCATGCCCTTTTTTGTCTGTGTCTTTGCACGCTCTTCCCATTGCCTGGAGTGCCCTCTAGGTCCATCTAGTGACCCAAATAAGACTTTAAGCCTAAACACAAATGTCCCCTCTTTTCTGACGTCCTCATGGACACACCCCTGGTATAAAATCACTTCCTCCTCTGTGCACCGAATGGTGTCTCACCCATCCGTGACAGCACTTACCACACCGTGCATCTGCTCACCTGCTCACCATCTGTCTCCCCAGAAAGACTGCCAGCTCCTCAAGGGCAGGGACCATGTCTCCTTCACTCAGCACCTTTGGCTCAAGAACACTAAGATATTTGGACCCTTGAAGTCTCAGTTTCCTCATCTGTAAATTAGGAAAAACACAACATCACTGAAGGAGATAGGGGAGGACTAAAGGAGCTGTGCTGTGCTTGGTACACAGGAAATATTCAGTAAAAATTCACCATTTTCAGGGATTCGTTATTTTAGAAGTTTACCAAAATGCTCCCTCTCCTCTCCCCCTGCTTCCTCTCCCCTCCCCTCCCTCTCCTCTCCCCTCTCCTCCCCTCCCCTCCCTCTCCCCTCCCCTCCCTCTCCTCTCCTCCCCTCCCTCTCCTCCTCTCCCCTCCCTCTCCTCCTCTCCCCTCCCTCTCCTCCTCTCCCCTCCCTCTCCTCCTCTCCCCTCCCTCTCCTCTCCTCCTGCTTCCTCTCCCCTCCCCTCCCTGTCCTCTCCCCTCTCCTCCCCTCCCCTCCCTTCCCCTCTCCTCTCCTCTCCTCCTCTCTCATATACACACACTCACACACACTATCACTCACACACACTCACACACACTCTAACACACACTCACCTACAAGCACGCACGCACGCGCACGCGCGCGCGCGCACACACACACACACACACACACACACTTGAGATGGCTGACCTGGAGGCCACCGTTTGCCCCAGGGGTAGATGCCAGAAATGGGCCAGCTTGAAACAGATGGCAAATACTCAGCTCTGAAGGACAAGCTGCCTGGTCTAGGCCTACAGGTATAAGAAAGAAGATATTTCAAGGAGGAAATGAAAAGGCAGAACAAGTTCCCCGTCCCCTGTCATCATGCTCGGCTCTGAGCTGGAGACAGGTGGGAGGTTTTGGAGAAGGAGTAAGAGCTCCAGATGTGAGTGTGAAGGGACCTCTACCCTGCCTGGCTAGATAGCTTCAGGATCGCCTTCCACATTCCCTCTTCACCCTCTCCACTCGGCTCTCTGCCCCGGGAAGTTGAGCTATAAACACATCAATGGGCCTCTCTGACCAGTGCCTCTGGTTGGATTCAGATCATGGGGAACAGTAACAGGACAAAGAAGGCAGGAGGAAAGTGAGGGTGGGTATTTATTCCGGGGCTTCCTTCTGCCAAGGTCCTATGGCTCTGGTCATGGCGGCTGCGGGTGGTAACAGCACCTACGTTACTAGCTAGCTCAGGGATACTGCACTGGACATGGGTTTCCCCGCACCCTGCCCACACCTTCATAAATAATCTCTGTATTTAATTCTCTTCAAAACACACCATTTGAACAATACCGTCGGCTCCCTGCCCCTGCCCTTCCATCCCTGGCCAAGGAGACACAGGTTAATGTTCCCCTGGAACTTGAGGGGACCCAGGAGTGGAGAGGATTTGCTCCCTGCATACTCTCAGGAGTTTTCGTGAGTTGCTGCCTTACAGATGTGTCTGACTCTGGGAATGTGAGGAGAACGATAAATGGGGTGGCATGGCTCATGTGGGCAAAACAGGGCTGGAGATGGTGTGTTAGTCCGTTTTCACACTGCTATGAAGAAATACCTGAGACTGGTAATTTATAAAGGAAAAAGGTGGGGTTTTTTTTTTTTTTTTTTTTTTTTGGAGGCAGAGTCTCGCTCTATCCCCCAGGCTGGAGTGCAGTGGCACGATCTCGGCTCCACCTCCCAGGTTCAAGCAATTCTCCTGCCTAAGCCTCCTGAGTAGCTGGGATTACAGGTGCATGCCACCATGCCCGGCTAATTTTTGTATTTTTAGTAGTGACAGGGTTTCACCATGTTGGTCAGGCTGGTCTTGAATTCCTGTTCTCGCGTGATCGGCCTGCCTCAGCCTCCCAAAGTGCTGGGATTACAGGCGTGAGCCACAGCGCCCAGCCAGGAAAAAGCTTTAATTGACTCAGTTCTGCATTGCTGGGAAGGCCTCAGGAAACTTAACAATCATGGCAGAAGGCAAAGGAGAAGCAGGCACCTTCTTCACAGGGTGGCAGGAAGAAGTGCCAAGCAAGGGGGGAAAGCCCCTTATAAAACCATTAGATCTCGTGAGAAATCACTCACTATCACAAGAACAGCATGGGAGTAACCACCCCCACATCAGGAATTTTCCCTATAGTGACTCTGTTGGGGTATAGAGATATCAGAGAGAGAGAGAGAGAAAGCACGCTTGCAGATCAGCTGCAGATGAACTGACTGTCCGTGTGAGGGACATGGCTGAATTCTTAGAGTGCTGTCTGTGATGGTTAATTTTATATGTCAGCTTGGCTGGGCCATGGTGCCTAGATCTTTGGTTAAACATTCTAACATTTTTCTGGATGTTTCTGTCAAAGTGTTTTTTGGAAGACATTAACATTTAAATGGGTGGATTCTGAGTCAACCAGATTGCCTTCCATGACGTGGGCGAGTGTCATCTAATAAGCTGAAGAACAAAGACTGACCTCCCCTAAGCAAGAAGAATGATGCCAGCAGGCTGACTGTGGGCTCGATCTGCAGCTCTTCCCTGGGTCTCCAGCTGCTGGCCTGTCCTGCAGACTTTGGACTTGCACCTCCACAATCACATGAGCCAATTCCTTAAAATAGACCTTTCTTTTTCTAGGTATAGGTACACATCCTGTTGGCTCTGTTCCCCTGCCAAGATGGGAGCCAATCAATTCCAGCAGAATGTGTGGGGCCTCATTCGAATGAATGTTTGTGCCCTCTTGGCAGACATGGCGAATTATTCAAGAGCAGGAAGCCAGTTCAGGATGGAGCAAAGTGTTATCCTTGACTTCTTCCTCCAGCTTCCGTCCCCATCAATCTGTGTAGTGGCCAACCCTTCCCACTTCCCACATTTACTCTCTCTCTTACTGCTACTCCTTAATCCGAGCCATCCATGGAAATCCCCAGCCAATAGCATGGGACAGTTGACGGTCTAACTCTCAGCATTCATCCCTCTCGTTCCCAGCATTTGCTCTATGCATCAGGCATGCAAACCCTTCCCCACTACTTGTAGAGCCCATGCTCCTTTATACCTCTTGTATTTCATTCACCAAAAATCTCTAATAAGGGCTGACTGTGTACAACCCTGTGCTAAGGGCGGAACACGCAGTCCCAGGTTTCAAAGAGCTCAGAATCTAAGGGAAAGAGAGGCTTGGAAACGGATTAAGTGCAACCACGTCCTGGCCACAGAGGGGAGGAAAGAAGCCCTGGTGAAGGCTCTTTGCAGAGGGAGGGAACGTCTTTATTTTATGCATGTTCTTCCCTTTGCTACCTTGTGCCTCTTCACCAGGAAACATCTCATCCTGCAGCTGAATACCGTCTCCCTACTCAGTGGTATCTACTGCCACCTCCATGCTCTGTCCAGAGCTAGTTCATTGTTCCCTTCCCAGTGCTCCTTCATATTTTCTATTTACTACTTTCTTCCTTTATTACATCAAGTAATACTACCAAATACTGCTCCTCTAGCATTTGCCCTGTGCTGCGCATGTGCTCGCCCTGCAACCACCTTTGGGGCAGGTACTATCGTATCATATCGTATCATCATTGGCTCAGGGTATAAGTATCTTGCTTAGTAACTCATGGCTCGTGAAATTAGTCATTTCATAATCTCAAGTTGCTGAGCACTTGTCTGGCGCAGAGTAGAGAGCAAATATTTGTCTAATGGAAGTGTGTTTGTGAAAATGCTGGGCTGTGTAAACTAAACAGAACGGAATAAAATCAGCTAGAGGGGTTTGCCAGGGAAGACTTCAAAAGCAGAGGGCATTTGTTTCTCTCTTGCCACCACTAATGTTTCTCAGTGTCTGGGGCGAGAGCCAGGAGAGAGAAGCCAGGTAGTCCCATCGTTGGAAAAGGCCACAGCGCCTTGCTGCCACCCACTGACAGCAGCATGGAGCTCTGCAGTTCCAGGACTGCCTGTGCAGGGGGCCATCCCTGGTACCATGCCCCTCTCCCTTCTGTGTGCCAGCTGGGCTGTCTCCCTTTCCTGGCCAGGGCTGTCCCTGCTGAATGCCAAACATCTGCAGACAGGGTTTGCAAACAGCTGGCTCAAAGTTCTGAGCTTTTGTGATCTCATCCAAGTGCCTGGCTATGGGGAACAGGCTTATTTTCCTGGGCTACCAGCACTGGAGTGGTGGAAATTACATTAGACTTGGATTCAGAGGCCTGCATTTGATTCTGAGCCCTGCCACTTTACAGCTAAATAAATGATACTGAACCTCTGTTTCCTTCGCTGTAAAATGGAAATGATGATCATTCCTACCTCATAGGGTTGTTAGGGGAGTAAGACAATAGACATGGGGCATGCTTGTAACTGTGTTCTGCTGAAACATGTGAGAGAGTGTCAATAATTAAAAGAAGCAAGAGTTCCTCAAGTCACAGTCATGCCAAGATGTCTAGACAATCCCTTTAGTTTATCTCAGTTCATTATTGAGATGCGAGGTCTACATAGCAGGGAAATTAATTGTTGCACTGAATGGACCAGATTTAGTTATTCACTGAGGTGGGCTGACACCTTGGGACTAGCACAGCATCTGGAGGCGGAAACTCTGGAAATGAATCCCCAAGTGCTGTTTGTGTAATCTAAGCATCATTTCTTCAGTTCTAAAATTGGGGCCATAATCTCCACATTGTACATGCCCTTGGACCCAGCAATCTTGCTCTTGGATTATATCCCAGAAGGCGTATACGGTGATGTGTAGAAGGATATTCGTCGTGGTGGTGTTTGTGGTAGCAGACAGGAGAGATATTGGAGGTTTTCACCACCAGGGAATGGATAAGTCAACCACAGTGGATGCGCCTGTGGAATTCCGGACAGCAGGCAGAAGCAATGGACTAGATGTACACAGAGCAGCATGGAGAATTCTTCAAAACAGTGTTGGGTAGGCTGGGCATGGTGGCTCACGCCTGTAATCCCAGCACTTTGAGAGGCCAAGGCGGGTGGATCATGAGGTCAGGAGATCAAGACCATCCTGGCTAACATGGTGAAAACCCGTCTCTACTAAAAAAAATACAAAAAAAAAAAAAAAAATTAGCCAGACGTGGTTGCGGACGCCTGTAGTCCCTGCTACTTGGGAGGCTGAGGCAGGAGAATGGCATGAACCTGGGAGGCGGAGCTTGCAGTGAGCCAAGATCACACCACTCCACTCCAGCCTGGGCAACAGAGCAAGACTCCATCTCGAAAGAAAAAAAAAAGTCACCTAATTAGAACAAAGACACTCCTATCACCCAGTAAATTCCAAGAGATTAGGAGTTTTGTGTCAGAAACTGGGGTCAAAGACAAAATATTAGAACAAAAGATGTACCTAGCACTCTCATTGCAGATTACAAGTGTTTTAGGAGCTCTGTGTCAGGAACCATGGATGAGGAACAAAAAAAATTCTTATTATAAATCATAATATTGGGGGTATAGAGTAAAACAAGAAAAGAGAAGAGCATTGCAAAGATCAGTGATAATAGTAGAGTGTTAACCTAGATGTATAACCAACTCAGTTTCCTGCAGCAGAAAATGTTTTAAATGTCTATCCTGAGGTGTTGTAAGAATTAGACATAATATTCATAAAGGTTCCTGACACAGTGCTTGGCCCATGAGAGATGCTGCAGAAATGGAAGCTCCTTTTATCATTCTCTCATTGATCAAATAATGTACCAAGTGCCCACTTTGTGCAGGACGCTGTGCAAGGATCCATGGGAGAGACAAAGACTGGGTGTCTCTCAGGAACTTGAGCATAGCAGATGGGACAGAATGGCAATGGGAGGGGAGAACCCTCATCTGAAGCTGCAGAGAAGACACTATCAGACCTCCTCAGCTTCCAAATTGAGGCTGAAAGAAGTGACTTGCTCAAGGTCACACAGCCAGTTAGGGGCTGAGCTAAGGGCAACTGTCTAGGTCTCCAGGGCCTTTTCAGAGCATCACCCAAGCCAGTGTGGCTGGTGGGGTGACTCAGATTCTTGACTTCACCGCACAAAAGAATTTGAGGGTGGGTCCAAAGTAAGAGTAGGCAAAGAAGTTTATTGCAGAGTGAAAGTACACTCTCAGAGGCAGAGTGGGCTGCTCAGAGGCAGAGACAGCCCCCAGTGTCCCAAGGGAATTCCCTTTATGAGAGCTGTACAGACATATGCATGAACTACTGGTGAGGTGAAGTGCAAAGGCTGACCTATGGTTGGTGTATGCACTCAGCATCTACATGCTTTCACATGCATTGCATGTTATCACTAGCGTAGAAAATCACCCAGAGGTGTGTTTATTAAAATGAGGAAAAATCACTAAGTTAAACCTTGAGCCTAGCTGCTCATATGAGACCCAGGAGAAGTCCTTAGTCCACCCCCACAAGCCAGGAATTTGTAGCTAATAGCTTCTTGGGGTTTTAGTGCTGATTGGCTACAGATTGGGGAAGCTGCATCACATCATGAACAATGGGTTTTTGTTCTCTTTCTCAGGTGGTACTAGGTATCAGGAACTTGTAGCCATCTGGCGGTCTGCCGGTAGCCTGTAGGACTGCTTACAGGTAGGTGCTGATGCACAAGGGGGGCCTGCTTTGAAAGGAGCCCATGGGGCTTCACACCAGGGGACAAGTCAGTGTGGCCTCCTCACCTTCCTTATCCTGCCTCACCAATACATCTGAATCCAAGAGAGTGGAAGGCTGGTACCTCCTGTCTCACCTTCTGCTCTGACAATCCTCCCTCACACTCCTCTTCGGTTTACCCACTCACCCATGTGCATGTGTGCAATGGAGAAATAAATTAGGAGATTGTTTTAAAAATGCAATTTGGTAGCTAAAATCTTTCTGAATAGGGGGTCCATGGGAAAAAAGTGAAAAGGTTCTGAACCCTGGCAGAGGTGAAGCTCTAAGGAGCAAATCTCCTTGGGGTGGTTAATTTTACATGTCAACTTGACTGGGTCATGGGGTGTCCAGATAGTTGGCTTACTTCTGGGTGCATCTGTGAGGGTGCTTCTGGATGATGTTGGTGTTTGAATTGGTGGCTGAGTAAAGCAGACAGCCCTCTCCAGGGTGGGTGGCACCATCCAATCTGTCAGGGGCCTGAATAGAACAAACAGGCAGAGGAAGGCTGAGTTTGTCCTCTGCCTGGATGCCTGAGTTGCAACATTTGTCTTCTCCTGCTCTCAGACTGGGACCATAGGCTCCCCTGGTCCTTAGGCCTTCAGACTTGGACTGAACGACACCACTGACTTTCCCAGGTCTCCAGCTTGCAGATGGCAGGAAGAGGTTCTTCCCAGCCTCCACAGTCATGTAAGCCAATTCCTTACAATAAATGTCTTCATATCTACACATCCTATTGCTTATGTTTCTCTGGAGAAGCCTGACTAATACATTCCTGTTCTCCCTTTTCCAGGCCTGCCCAGCTGCTTTAGTGATTCCGGGTCAGAGTCTTGCAATCAGAAGCAACTCCCACCCTCAGCCCTCAAAATGGGCCATCTCAAATCTTACTAGCCAATGGCACTCCAAGGAGAGGGAGGAGCAGTGTCCCTGTAAGCTCCTTCCAGCCTTTATCATCCTTTGACTTGTCCCTAAAATATCCTATTCCCCAAAGATGGCAAGAGCGCCTCCCGAGAAGGAGGAGCAAGGGCATCTCCATGGAGCCCCGCTCTCTGAGCTCTGACTGAGGGTGGGGGAAGGAGAGAACTCTGGGTCTGGCTCACGGGGTGCCATGTGTCAGGCAGCAGGTCCTTGTGAAGTCTCCAGAGATGTGAGGAGTTGGTCGTAACAGCCCAGGGAAGGAGAGGTAGACGTGGCAAACGGGAGAGACAGGTCCCCAAAGGCTTTGCCGACTTCTTGCCAGCCTTGATCCACCAGAGCTATAATGGCCTTTCCTACTATTTCAGAAAAACCCAAAACTTTCCCCACAGAGTTCAAAATGGGATTGGCAAGGAGCTGAATACCATATTGGTTTTCTGAGATGAGCACAGTCAGCACACTAGCTCCGAGTCAGAAAGGGCAAGAGAGGAGGGCGAGACAATTCTCTAAGTGATGGGAACCTTCCCTGTCTGGGAGTTTGGCTCAGCTGTGAGCTGGGTTAATGTGGCTGCAGAAGGGAAGCATGGTTCATGTCCAGCCAGCAGGGACACTGTCCCAGAGCTGCGCTCAGCCCTCATAGACTGGCTCCATTTACCTCTCACGCAGCACCCCATGAGCTGAGGGCGGTTCTGTGGCCATGTTACACATAAGGAAATAGGATGCAGAGCTGATGACTTGCCCAAGATCACACTACTGGGGAGTGGTGGAATTAGAATTTGAACCCAGATTGCCTAGCCCATTAGCCTAACCACTAATCAAAGCAGCAGCTCAACTGTAGCCGAGTCATTAGGAATCTCCCAGCTTATGGCTGAGAAAGCAAGAAAAATGAATCTTTACCATGCAGGGCCGGAGTCAAAGTGCACGTCATTCAGTGCACGTTTCTTCTGAAGAATATTTCTTATGGAAATGCATTCTGCGGGGTCACAATGGCTCATGCCTGTAATCCCAGCACTTTGGGAGGCTGAGGTGGGCGGATCGCTTGAGCCCAGAAGTTTGAGACCAGCCTGGGCAAATTAAGGAGACCTTGTCTCTACAAAAAATTAAAAAATTAGCCCAGCATGGTGGCATGTGCCTGTGGACCTAGGTACGCAGGAGGCTGAGGTGGGAGGGTCACTTGAGCCTGGGAAGTCGAGGCTGCAGTGAGCCGTGATCGCACCACAGCACTCCAGCCTGGGTAACAGAGTCAGACCCCGTCCCCTCCCCTGACAAAAAAAAGAGATAAATATATTCTAGGGAAACATCAATCTATAACCATAATTCCTATATTCTCAGTATCATCTCTTATTTTTTGGGGGGCTGCCTGCTCATTGAACAGCAGAGCATGGCATGGGGTTTCATCACATCCAACATACAACCTCCCTTCCAACCTAACTGATTTTCCACAGTGTTTCTCAGCACTGTCATAGAACTACCGCTTATGGAATGTATGAATGACATTATTACAAGATATTTAAAGAGATTTAAAAGTATAAAACCTGAATAAAAGCCACCACAATCACTTGGTGTGTGCAAACAACACCCCGGTTCAGACATCACTGACAGGACGTGTCAGGGATTTCACCTTACCGGCTAAAGTGGCGCCACCGTGTGGCAAGAATGTAAACGCTATTTGCAATGGACTTGGATAGGCAGCTTCGAAATTACGTGAGCCTTAGTTCTTTTTATTTAATTGGTGAGAGTTGCATTATTCCAAAGTTGTAGGCATCAAGTCAGACTTTATTAGTATCGCGTGTCACACGATTTCTAATTCCTATCATTTAAATTGGGCCGATAGGGACCCCTCCATGCCGTGTGGTGAGTGCTGGGATTTGGGCATGTGCTGGGCATCTGGACATGACAGGGCCTAGAGGAGGAGGTAAAGTGTAGGGAGGCTCCCAGAGGAGGTGACCTGTGAGTCAGATTTTGAGAGTTTTCCAAAGGAACGCACGGAAGTGGACAGCAGAGAAAAGGGAGGACGATATTCCAGGCACAGAGAGCAGAGTAGAGAATGCCATAACATCACAGAAGGACATGAGGTATTGGTGAAAGGTTGGGTGTTTAGCTGTTGTTTTGATTGGTAGTTAGGCTCATGGACTAGGGAGTAAGACAGTCTGGGTTCAAATTCTATTCCATCACTTCCCAGTAGTGTGATCTTGGGCAAGTCATCAGCTCTGCATCTTATTTCCTTAAGTCTTGAGAGGGGAGTGGAGGTGGAGCTGGGGCTAGAGAGGAGGGTCAGGGCCGGGTGGAAAATGCCATACGGTGCCATGAGAAGGAGCCTTTCTCCTGCAGGAGTGGAGGTCACTGAAGGACAGGCAGGTCTGTGTTTAGACAGATTACCAGTAGCAGGGTGGATGTTGGACTAGAAGAGAGAAGAAACCACAAACAGGGGAACTAGTTAGCAGACTGTTGAAGAAGTCTCCCATCCCTTCATGAATTCTACAAATACTGAATGCCCACACTGTGCCAGCGACTGTTCTGGGCATTAGAGATCTATAAGACAACAAAATAAAGACTGTTGCCCTCTGGGAGCCTACACCTTACTAGGGGGAGACAGGCAACAAACACATAAATAATATGATATATAGTGTTTCAGATAATATGAAAAGCAATGGGAAAAAAATAAAGCAGGGAAGGAGGATAGAGAACGTGGGCAGGGTTGCAATTTTAGATAAGGGGATCAGCGAAGGCCCTGGTGAGAAAAGGATTAAAAGGCCTAAAGGGAGTGAGGGAGGAAAGCATTCCAGGTCCCAGGGAAAGCCTTCCAGGCAGAGAGAACAGCAAAGGCAGAGCCTGAGGTCAGAGCGTTCCTGGTGAGATCTTGGGAAAGCAAGGAGGCCAGTGTGGCTGGAGCAGAATCAAGGCAGGCAGGGTGGGGGCCAGGGGCAACATCAGAGACAGGGGAGGAGGCAAACTGTGTAGGGTGGGGTTGGCAAAGCTTATCTGTAAAGGGCCGGACAGTAAACATAATATTTCAGACTTTGTGCACCACGTGGTCTCTCTTGCAACTGCTGAACTCTGCCCTTGTAGTGTGAAAACAGCCACAGACCAAATGTAAAAGAATAAACATGGCTGTTTCAACAAAACTTTACTTACAAAAATGGGTGATGGGTCAGAATGGCCTGCACACCATAGTCTGTCAACCCTGATGTAGGACATTAGAGACACTGAAGGTCTTAGTTTTACTTGAATAAGATGGAGAGCTATCACAGGGTTTTGAGTAAAGAAGGAGCACAATGTAACTGATGTTGCATTTGGATCATTCTGGCTGCTGTGTGAGAATAGACTGCATGGGGGTCCGGGGTGGAAGTAGGGAGACCAACTCTATTATTTATTCTCTGAGTGACCTTGGGCAAGTCACACAGCCTCCCTGGCCTTCAGTTTCCTCTTTTGTAAACTGGGGTAATAGTGTAATGATACCTAGCTTATGGAGCGGTTGTGAAGGGTAAATGAATCAACATATGCAAAGCACAAGGGAAGTGCCTGGCACACAGTAAGCACTATATATGGTAGCCATTTTTATTAATGCAGTCATTTAGACAAGATACAGTGATGGCATGAACCAGGTTATGCTGGTAGAAGTAATAAAAAGTGATCTGATTCTGGACATATTTTGAAGGTAGAGCAAACAGAATTTTCAGATGATTTGTATACAGGGTGGAGAGAAAGAGAGAAATTAAGGAAGATTTTAACTTTTTTGTCTGAGTAACTGAAAAATGGAGTTGTTCTTTACCTAGAAGAGAAAAGCCGTGGGAAGAATGAGTTTTCAGGGGATCATGAAGAATTCAATGTTAGACAGTAGGATCTGTAAGCCTCATTCAGAGGAGAGCCCATTGAAAGTTAAGGAGATGAGAAAGAACCAACAAAGATAATGGAAATGAGGCAGACAGCGAGGTAGGCAGAAAACCAGAAGGACTTGGCATCCTGGAGTTCAAGGGAGGAAGGCACTGGAAGGAGGGAGGTGTGCATCAAATTTTGATAGGTCAGGTAAGCTGAGGATAAGAATCACTGGGTTTAGCAATGTAGAAGACTGGAGCAGTTTTGGTGGAGTGGTGGGTGCGCAAGCCTGAGGGAGCAGGTTTAACAGAGAATGGAAACTGAGTGTTTGCAGACAGCAAGTAGAAACAGCTGTTGGGGAAAATTGGCTGAAAGGGGAAGATGGAAAATGAGGCCATAACTGGGGCAAGCCATGAGGTCCAGACAGAGATGACAAGCGATAATGGAGCAATAGATATCAAGGGCCTTGGAAGATGGGATGAGACGAGTCCAAAGGCATTTCTGATGAAGAGGACCTGGAGACTGTCGAGGTGTGTGGAGTGAGGGAGAAGTCTAGGCTGGCTCCCGGGTTCCTGGCGTGCATAACTGAGGGGGTTGTTGGGAGCAGCATTCCTTCTCTGTGCTTTGGTAGCATCTTGGGCATGCTGCTATTGCCGCATACATTGCACTGTCATATAATTGTTTATGAGTCTGCCTGCTATTTGAAGACTGTGCCATGTTCCATATTTATCTCTGTGCAACTGGTGTAGAGTGAGTGCTTGGAAGCGAAGCAGCAGCTCCGGGAAGGCCGCAGTTTCAGTGGTCTGGTCTTGACAAGACAGCGATTTATTTCTTCCATGCCCCATGATAGAGCATATTTCTCCTGTTCTGTCTACATCTCTGTAGGGTCCAGCCCTACATGGCCTGTGGGTTTTTCTCTTCGTGTGCGGAGATGAGAGATCGTAGAAATAAAGACACAAGGCAGAGATAGAAGAAAAGACAGCTGGGCCCAGGGGACCACTACCACCAAGGCGCGGAGATCGGTAGTGGCCCCTAATGCCTGGTTGTGCTGTTATTTATTGTATACAAGGCAAGAGGGCAGGGTAAGGAGTGTGAGTCGTCTCCAATGATAGGTAAGGTCGCGCGAGTCACGTGGCCACAGGACAAATAGGGAGCCTTTCCCTATTTGGTAGTCGAGGAAGAGAGAGAGAGGACAGCTTACGTCATTATTTCTTCTATGTATTTCTTGGAGAGATCAAAGACTTTAATACTTTCACTATTTCTGCTACTGCTATCTAGAAGGTGGAGCCAAGTGTACAGGGCAGAACATGAAAGTGGACCAGGAGCGTGACCGCTGAAGCACAGCATCAGAAGGAGACGTTTAGGCCTCTGGATGGCTGTGGGTGGGCCTGATTAATGTCAGGCCTTCCACAAGAGGTGGTGGAGCAGAGTCTTCTCTAACTCCCCCCGGGGAAGGGAGACTTCCTTTCCCGGTCTGCTAAGTAACGGGTGCCTTCCCAGGCACTGGCGCTACCGCTAGACCAAGGAGCCCTCTAGTGGCCCTGTCTGGGCATAACAGAGGGCTCACACTTGTCTTCTGGTCACTTCTCACCATGTCCCTTCAGCTCCTATCTCTGTATGGCCTGGTTTTTCCTAGGTTATAATTGTAGAACAAAGATTATTATAATATTGGAATAAAGAGTAATGCTATAAACTAATGATTAATAATATTCATATATAATCATATCTATAATCTATTTCTAGTATAACTATTCTTATTGTATATATTTTCTTTATTACACTGGAACAGCTTGTGCCCTTGGTCTCTTGCCTCGGCACCTGGGTAGCTTGCCGCCCACACATCTCCACTGCCCTTCCTTTCCAGAGATTCCAATGGATTCTTACCTAAGATGCCATAACTCAACCATAGTTAATAGGGAAGTATGGTTGGCATTCCATCAGGATCCCAGAGCTGAGTATGACAACTAGGGCTACAACCCAACTGTTTCCTGTTGAGTTTCTGGAGCCCTGTTAGGTGTGGTTGTCTGGAATCTGAGCTGTTGCATCCCTATCCCCATATGACTGACCCTGACATCTTTTAGAAGTTGATTCAGTGGTGCCCTAACATTGGTGTGGCCCACTGATCCTCCATGCCCAGAATCTTCCCCATGGATGATTCCATCTTCTGCTTTTTAACACAAGCCAGCAATCCAAGCTCTAGGAAGACAAACTTTACACTGATGAAATGACTCAATACCTCTTGGTGCTGAGGAAGGGCTATTTTTATATTTCCAATGCTTTATGGACTGTTGTGAGGCCTCAGAAATCCAGGCTCCTCTGAAGTACATCCTCTTAGGCAACAGCCCCACCCACAGTCCCCTGTCCTACCTGACAATAAAAAACTGAGATGCATGGGCGAGGCTGAGGGAGAAGCTGGTGAGCAACGGCAACACAAGGCAGTGAAGAGAGGGGACTTGGGAACGTGGCAGTGAAAAAAGTCAGCCTGTGTCTCAGTGATGTGTGTGTGAGGGACCCAAACACTCAACCCAGATCACATTCTATGGGAAAGGTGAGGATTAAATGAAATGACATAGATACAGCGAAGAGCACAGGGTGGGCAGTTAGTAATTTTTAGCTGCCTTTTCTTTTACTATTTGAAATGTGCATTATAAATTACAAAGTGACAGATGCTAGTTGCTAGGATGAGGCAGGTACCAGTCCAATGGACTAGACAAGTGTTTCTCAAACTCTAATGTACCTAAGAAATAGCTGGGGATCTTGTTGATCTGTGGATTCTGTTTCAGCGGGTCTAGGATGATGTCTGAGATCCTACAGGTCTAACAAGCTCCCAGGTGATTCCAATTCATTGAACTCTTTGAATAGCAAAGGTCTAGAACAGCGGTCTTACCCAGGCTACACATTCAAATGATCTAGTGAGATTTATAAAGTATGGGCTTTCTGCTCTTGCACTCCATCTACTGAATCAGAATTTCCAGTGGTGGAGCTTAGACATTTACAGTTTTAATAGGCAAGCCAGATGACTCTAGTGTTCAGCCAGGACTGAAGACCACTGGCCTAAGGCCCTGTATTCTTTCTAATTCTGTTCTCCAGCTAATTCTGATTCATTCAATCAGTGATATTTGTTGAGCTTCTATTCTCTGCCAGGCAGTGAATTTGGCAAGGAGAACAAACAAAAAAACCAGCAATGACAGTGCATATGCTAAATGCTGGGCAGAGGATGCCTTGCATGGGAGCCCAGGACAGTGGGTGTGGTGATTTAGCCATCTTGATTGGTCACAGGCAAGGAAGGCTTCTCTGTGGGAGGTGAGGGTAGGACTGAGTTTAAAGAAGGAATAGAACCAAGTTAGAACAATAGGAAAAGCCGTAAAATAACATAACATGCTGGAAAAGACTTGAGTTCACTCAAGGGAAGGGTAAGTAACTAGGCTGGAGAAGACATTAGGAAGAAGATCATGAAGGGGTGCTAAGTTAGGAGTTTGACTTTCATCCTGAATGCTAGGATTTTAAGAAGACTGAATGTTGGAAAATAGCAAACACAAAACAAACATTCAGCCTCAACATTATAATTTTGATGTTACTATTATTATTATTACCGGTTTGTGTTTAAGAGATATTATACTGACAATAGGATGGAGAATTGGCTACAGGAGACCTAGGCTAGAAACAGGGAAAGTGGTCACAAACTATTATAGTAACCCAGTCAAGGAATGAGACAGATATGAAGGAGGTAGATTTGGCAGGACTTGAAAGACATGGTTCTTGCAATAATTTAAACATTCCCATGTGCACATAGCAGTTTGCAAATTCCTTTCATATAACAAACTTGAGAAGGAGTTAGCATAAGCATTAGTCCAATTTTACTAATAAAGGAAACTGAGACTCAGAAATGAACTGACTTATTTACGGTCACATGACAAGTGTGTGAGCAATTCTGGTTTATCTGACTCAACATCAGGCATTCCTTTTGCTGTGTTGGGCCGCCTCCTATAAGGTAGACATCCTATATGAACACTGGGAAGGGTGGGGTAACCCCTCCTGGTTGGCATGTGGGGTGTACTGGTGTGGCCTTAAAGGGACCCTGAGGCCGGGCGTGGTGGCTCATCCCTATAATCCCAGCACTTTGGGAGTCTGAAGTAGATGTATTGCCTGAGCTCAGGAGTTTGAGACCAGCCTGGGCAATATGGCAAAACCCCGTCTCTACCAAAAATACAAAAAATTAGCTGGGTGTGGTGGCACGCACCTGTGATCCAAGCTATGGAGGCTGAGGTGGGAGGATTGCTTGAGCCTGGGAGGTGGAGGTTGCAGTGTGCTGAGATTGGGCCACTGCACTCCAGCCTGCATGACAGAGTGAGAACCCTTCTCAAACAAATAAATACATACATTTAAAATAAATAAAGGGACCCTGAGTTCAACAACTCTGTTACCATTAACTCGACATTCCCAGATATGGAAATAGGGGCCAGAGTCTCAACACTGGAATTTTCAGACAGTTTTGAGAAGAATCCATCAAGGGCTCCCAGCTTTTCCCAACAAAATCTTAGAGCTGACAGGTTATGAAAGCAAAGTAGCAATGGAAGTACAGATATTGGAGCAGTTGGCAGGGGTAGGGGAAGTTATCCTGATCCATCTTTGCCTTTGTCTCTGTTTCAAAGCCATGTCCCTTTCTCCACTCATTCCCCTCATTTCCCTCTTCTCCATCAATTAATTTCCACCTCTCTCTAATCTCTGCCTTCCCCCTGGCTGCTCCTCTCAGGCTTCAAGTTTGCTCCAAACTCACTCATCCTTAAAGGACCACCTCATCTTAGTCCTGCCATATTCTCAAGCTACTGCCCTGCAGAGCTAATAAACAACTCCACCCACGCTTCACAGAGGAACGGGAAGGTTTAATCTGATTTTTACGTCTGTCGTCTGACTACTGTCTCTGATTATCTCAAGTTCAAAGTTGGCCTTCTGATTACTGTGACTCTCTTTGAGAACTGATAATGGCTTACAAATGGATTCCTTTACCACACTTTTGTTCGTCTGATGTTTCATGGACTGTCTCTGTGTAAACTTAGTTATTTAATGTCTCATACTTTGGGGGATAGTGCATCAGTGAGGAATCTGTTTGGCTATTAACTTTGTTTTAAACATATAACATAGACAGAGATGATACACATCAAATGATTTGTCTCACAGGCAAAAAGGCAGGGGAAGGTACTTGTAGGCTAGAGCAGCAGCCCCTTTACACAATCGTCAGCGTTCTAGGCCCCTCTGTCTTTTCACACTGTCACCTTTGGCATGTTGGTTTGCGGCCCAAAGGCTGCAAGATGGCAGTGCATCTCCAAGCATCCTCCAGGTAGGCAGAAGCAAGAAGGGCAAAGTGGGGAAAACCGGGCCTTGCCAGCCAACTCTGCCACTCTCTATTGAGAAGACAAAAGCTTTCCTGGAGTCCACACCCAGTAGAATTCTGTGTCCATCTCATTTCACACAGCCGCCTACAGCTGGAAGGTAGCTAAGGAGGAGTGTTTTGGATGGGCTGGGTCAGTCAACAAGCAGCATCGTTCACATATCCTCATATATATGGGGAAGACTTTGCTTATGGTTTAGCTGTGTGCAAAACAAGTTACAGTGACTGGTGTTTCAGATGTCAGGACCTGTATTAGGTGTAGCATAAATTCTGTCAAGTGAAGACTACCATCTCCCTTTTACAGATAAGGAAGCTGAAGAGCAGAGAGGTGGAATAACTTATTGAAGCTCATACAACCTGAAGAAAAGTATTTTTCTGTTAAAACAAACATACATTATGACATAAAACCAAAAAATCCTCACCAATTTTAGAGATAAAAAT